>NC_000012.12:36673455-36779839 GCF_000001405.40 Homo sapiens | reverse complement strand
TCTTTCTAGCGTTCTATGAAGAAATCCCGTTTCCAACGAAGGCCCCAAAGAGGTCCAAATATCTGCTTGCAGACTTTACAGACAGAGTGTTTCCAAACTACTCTATGAAAAGAAAGCTTAAACTCCTTGAGTTGAACGCACACATCACAAAGTAGTTTCTGAGAATGATTCTGTCTAGTTTTTATACGAAGATGTTTCCTTTTCTACATTTGGTCTCAAAGCGATTGAAATCTCCAACTGGAAACTGCACAAATAGGGTGTTTCAAATCTGCTCTGTCTAAAGGAAGGTTCAACTCTTTGAGTTGAATACACACACCACAAATAAGTTACTGAGAATTCTTCTGTCGAACATTACTTGAAGAAATCCCGTTTCCAAAGAAGGCCTCAAAGAGGTCCAAATATCCACTTGCAGACATTACAAACAGAGTGTTTCCAAACTGCTCCATCAAAAGAAAGGTTAAACTCTGTGAGCTGAACACACACATCAAAAAGAAGTTTCTGTGAATGATTCTGTCTAGATTTTAGAAGAAGATGTTTCCTTTTCTACCGTAGGCCTCAAGGCGCTTGAAATCTCCAGCTGCAAATTCCACAAAAAGGGTGTTTAACATCTGCTCTTCTAAAGGAAAGTTCAACTCCATGAGTTGAATACACACAGCACAAAGAAGTTACTGAGACTTCTCCTATCAAACATTATAGGAAGAAATCCCGTTTCCAACTAAGGCCACAAAGAGGTCCAAATATCCACTTGCAGACGTGACAAACAGAGTGTTTCCAAACTGCTCCATCAAAAGAAAGGTTAAACTCTGTGATTTGAACACACACATCACAAAGTAGTTTCTGTGAATGATTCTGTCTAGTTTTTATACGAAGATGTTTCCTTTTCTACCTTTGGTCTCAATGCGATTGAAATCTCCACATGGAAACTCCACAAAAAGAGTGTTTCAAATCTGCTCTTTCTGAAGGAAGGTTCAACTCTGTGAGTTGAATACACACACCACAAATAAGTTACTGAGAATTCTTCTGTGTAACATTATATGAGGAAATCCCGTTTCCAACGAAGGCCTCAAAGAGGTCCAAATATCCACTTGCAGACTTTACAAAGACAGTGTCTCCAAACTCCTCCATCAAAAGAAAGGTTATACTCTGTGAATTGAACAGCACACATCACAAAGTAGTTTCTGAGAATGATTCTGTCTAGTTTTTATACGAAGATATTTCCTTTTCTACATTTGGCCTAAAAGCGCTTGAAATCTCCACCTGCAAATATCACAAAAAGAGGGTTTCACATCTGCTCTGTCTAAAGGACAGTTCACCTCTGTGAGTTGAATAGAGGCAACACAAAGAACTTACTCAGTATTCTTCTTTCTAGCGTTCTATGAAGAAATCCCGTTTCCAACGAAGGCCCCAAAGAGGTCCAAATATCTGCTTGCAGACTTTACAGACAGAGTGTTTCCAAACTACTCTATGAAAAGAAAGCTTAAACTCCTTGAGTTGAACGCACACATCACAAAGTAGTTTCTGAGAATGATTCTGTCTAGTTTTTATACGAAGATGTTTCCTTTTCTACATTTGGTCTCAAAGCGATTGAAATCTCCAACTGGAAACTGCACAAATAGGGTGTTTCAAATCTGCTCTGTCTAAAGGAAGGTTCAACTCTGTGAGTTGAATACACACACCACAAATAAGTTACTGAGAATTCTTCTGTCGAACATTACATGAAGAAATCCCGTTTCCAACGAAGGCCTCAAAGACGTCAAAATATCCACTTGCAGACATTACAAACAGAGTGTTTCCAAACTGCTCCATCAAAAGAAAGGTTAAACTCTGTGAGCTGAACACACACATCAAAAAGAAGTTTCTGTGAATGATTCTGTCTAGATTTTATAAGAAGATGTTTCCTTTTCTACCGTAGGCCTCAAAGCGCTTGAAATCTCCAGCTGCAAATTCCACAAAAAGGGTGTTTAACATCTGCTCTTCTAAAGGAAAGTTCAACTCTATGAGTTGAATACACACAGCACAAAGAAGTTACTGAGACTTCTCCTATCAAACATTATATGAAGAAATCCCGTTTGCAACGAAGGCCTCAAAGAGGTCCAAATATCTGCTTGCAGACTTTACAGACAGAGTTTTTCCAAACTGCTCCATCAAAAGAAAGGTTAAACTCCTTGAGTTGAACACACACATCACAAAGTAGTTTCTGTGAATGATTCTGTCTAGTTTTTATACGAAGATGTTTCCTTTTCTACCTTTGGTCTCAAAGCGATTGAAATCTCCACATGGAAACTCCACAAAAAGAGTGTTTCAAATCTGCTCTTTCTGAAGGAAGGTTCAACTCTGTGAGTTGAATACACACACCACAAATAAGTTACTGAGAATTCTTCTGTGTAACATTATATGAGGAAATCCCGTTTCCAACGAAGGCCTCAAAGAGGTCCAAATATCCACTTGCAGACTTTACAAAGACAGTGTCTCCAAACTCCTCCATCAAAAGAAAGGTTATACTCTGTGAATTGAATGCACACATCACAAAGTAGTTTCTGAGAATGATTCTGTCTAGTTTTTATACGAAGATATTTCCTTTTCTACATTTGGCCTAAAAGCGCTTGAAATCTCCACCTGCAAATATCACAAAAAGAGGGTTTCACATCTGCTCTGTCTAAAGGACAGTTCACCTCTGTGAGTTGAATAGAGGCAACACAAAGAACGTACTCAGTATTCTTCTTTCTAGCGTTCTATGAAGAAATCCCGTTTACAACGAAGGCCTCAAAGAGGTCCAAATATCTGCTTGCAGACTTTACAGACAGAGTGTTTCCAAACTACTCTATGAAAAGAAAGCTTAAACTCCTTGAGTTGAACGCACACATCACAAAGTAGTTTCTGAGAATGATTCTGTCTAGTTTTTATACGAAGATGTTTCCTTTTCTACATTTGGTCTCAAAGCTCTTGAAATCTCCAACTGGAAACTGCACAAATAGGCTGTTTCAAATCTGCTCTGTCTAAAGGAAGGTTCAACTCTGTGAGTTGAATACACACACCACAAATAAGTTACTGAGAATTCTTCTGTCGAACATTACTTGAAGAAATCCCGTTTCCAACGAAGGCCTCAAAGAGGTCCAAATATCCACTTGCAGACATTACAAACAGAGTGTTTCCAAACTGCTCCATCAAAAGAAAGGTTAAACTCTGTGAGCTGAACACACACATCAAAAAGAAGTTTCTGTGAATGATTCTGTCTAGATTTTATAAGAACATATTTCCTTTTCTACCGTAGGCCACAAAGCGCTTGAAATCTCCAGCTGCAAATTCCACAAAAAGGGTGTTTAACATCTGCTCTTCTAAAGGAAAGTTCAACTCTATGAGTTGAATACACACAGCACAAAGAAGTTACTGAGACTTCTCCTATCAAACATTATATGAAGAAATCCCGTTTCCAACGAAGGCCTCAAAGAGGTCCAAATATCTGCTTGCAGACTTTACAGACAGAGTGTTTCCAAACTGCTCCATCAAAAGAAAGGTTAAACTCCTTGAGTTGAACACACACATCACAAAGTAGTTTCTGTGAATGATTCTGTCTAGTTTTTATACGAAGATGTTTCCTTTTCTACCTTTGGTCTCAAAGCGATTGAAATCTCCACATGGAAACTCCACAAAAAGAGTGTTTCAAATCTGCTCTTTCTGAAGGAAGGTTCAACTCTGTGAGTTGAATACACACACCACAAATAAGTTACTGAGAATTCTCCTATCAAACATTATATGAAGAAATCCCGTTTCCAACGAAGGCCTCAAAGAGGTCCAAATATCTGCTTGCAGACTTTACAAAGACAGTGTCTCCAAACTCCTCCATCAAAAGAAAGGTTATACTCTGTGAATTGAACGCACACATCACAAAGTAGTTTCTGAGAATGATTCTGTCTAGTTTTTATACGAAGATATTTCCTTTTCTACATTTGGCCTAAAAGCGCTTCAAATCTCCACCTACAAATATCACAAAAAGAGGGTTTCACATCTGCTCTGTCTAAAGGACAGTTCACCTCTCTGAGTTGAATAGAGGCAACACAAAGAAGTTACTGAGTATTCTTCTTTCTAGCGTTATATGAAGAAATCCCGTTTCCAACGAAGGCCTCAAAGAAGTCCAAATATCTGCTTCCAGACTTTACAGACAGAGTGTTTCCAAACTACTCTATGAAAAGAAAGCTTAAACTCCTTGAGTTCAACGCACACATCACAAAGTAGTTTCTGAGAATGATTCTGTCTTGTTTTTATACGAAGATATTTCCGTTTCTATGATTGGCCTCAAAGCCATTGAAATCTCCAACTGGAAGCTGCACAAATAGGGTGTTTCAAATCTGCTCTGTCAAAAGGAAGGTTCAACTCTGTGAGTTGAATACACACACCACAAATAAGTTACTGAGAATTTTTCTGTCGAACTTTACATGAAGAAATCCCGTTTCCAACGAAGGCCTCAAAGAGGTCCAAATATCCACTTGCAGACATTACAAACAGAGTGTTTCCAAACTGCTCCATCAAAAGAAAGGTTAAACTCTGTGAGGTGAACACACACATCAAAAAGAAGTTTCTGTGAATGATTCTGTCTGGATTTTGTAAGAAGATGTTTCCTTTTCTACTGTAGGCCTCAAAGCGCTTGTAATCTCCAGCTGCAAATTCCACAAAAAGGGTGTTTAACATCTGCTCTTCTAAAGGAAATTTCAACTCTATGAGTTGAATACACACAGCACAAAGAAGTTACTGAGACTTCTCCTATCAAACATTATATGAAGAAATCCCGTTTCCAACGAAGGCCTCAAAGAGGTCCAAATATCTGCTTGCAGACTTTACAGACAGAGTGTTTCCAAACTGCTCCATCAAAAGAAAGGTTAAACTCCTTGAGTTGAACACACACATCACAAAGTAGTTTCTGTGAATGATTCTGTCTAGTTGTTATACGAAGATGTTTCCTTTTCTACCTTTGGTCTCAAAGCGATTGAAATCTCCACATGGAAACTCCACAAAAAGAGTGTTTCAAATCTGCTCTTTCTGAAGGAAGGTTCATCTCTGTGAGTTGAATACACACACCACAAATAAGTTACTGAGAATTCTTCTATGTAACATTATATGAGGAAATCCCGTTTCCAACGAAGGCCTCAAAGAGGTCCAAATATCCACTTGCAGACTTTACAAAGACAGTGTCTCCAAACTCCTCCATCAAAAGAAAGGTTATACTCTGTGAATTGAACGCACACATCACAAAGTAGTTTCTGAGAATGATTCTGTCTAGTTTTTATACGAAGATATTTCCTTTTCTACATTTGGCCTAAAAGCGCTTGAAATCTCCACCTGCAAATATCACAAAAAGAGGGTTTCACATCTGCTCTGTCTAAAGGACAGTTCACCTCTGTGAGTTGAATAGAGGCAACACAAAGAACGTACTCAGTATTCTTCTGGGTAACATTATATGAGGAAATCCCGTTTCCAACGAAGGCCTCAAAGAGGTCCAAATATCCACTTGCAGACTTTACAAAGACAGTGTCTCCAAACTCCTCCATCAAAAGAAAGGTTATACTCTGTGAATTGAACGCACACATCACAAAGTAGTTTCTGAGAATGATTCTGTCTAGTTTTTATATGAAGATATTTCCTTTTCTACATTTGGCCTAAAAGCGCTTGAAATCTCCACCTGCAAATATCACAAAAAGAGGGTTTCACATCTGCTCTTTCTAAAGGACAGTTCACCTCTGTGAGTTGAATAGAGGCAACACAAAGAACTTACTCAGTATTCTTCTTTCTAGCGTTCTATGAAGAAATCCCGTTTCCAACGAAGGCCCCAAAGAGGTCCAAATATCTGCTTGCAGACTTTACAGACAGTGTTTCCAAACTACTTTATGAAAAGAAAGCTTAAACTCCTTGAGTTGAACGCTCACATCACAAAGTAGTTTCTGAGAATGATTCTGTCTTGTTTTTATACGAAGATATTTCCGTTTCTACGATTGGCCTCAAAGCGATTGAAATCTCCACCTGAAAACTGCACAAATAGGGTGTTTCAAATCTGCTCTGTCTAAAGGAAGGTTCAACTCTGTGAGTTGAATACACACACCACAAATAAGTTACTGAGAATTCTTCTGTCGAACATTACTTGAAGAAATCCCGTTTCCAACGAAGGCCTCAAAGAGGTCCAAATATCCACTTGCAGACATTACAAACAGAGTGTTTCCAAAGTGCTCCATCAAAAGAAAGGTTAAACTCTGTGAGCTGAACACACACATCGAAAAGAAGTTTCTGTGAATGATTCTGTCTAGATTTTATAAGAAGATGTTTCCTTTTCTACCGTAGGCCTCAAAGCGCTTGAAATCTCCAGCTGCAAATTCCACAAAAAGGGTGTTTAACATCTGCTCTTCTAAAGGAAAGTTCAACTCTATGAGTTGAATACACACAGCACAAAGAAGTTACTGAGACTTCTCCCTATCAAACATTATATGAAGAAATCCCGTTTCCAACGAAGGCCTCAAAGAGGTCCAAATATCTGCTTGCAGACTTTACAGACAGAGTGTTTCCAAACTGCTCCATCAAAAGAAAGGTTAAACTCCTTGAGTTGAACACACACATCACAAAGTAGTTTCTGTGAATGATTCTGTCTAGTTGTTATACGAAGATGTTTCCTTTTCTACCTTTGGTCTCAAAGCGATTGAAATCTCCACATGGAAACTCCACAAAAAGAGTGTTTCAAATCTGCTCTTTCTGAAGGAAGGTTCATCTCTGTGAGTTGAATATACACACCACAAATAAGTTACTGAGAATTCTTCTGTGTAACATTATATGAGGAAATCCCGTTTCCAACGAAGGCCTCAAAGAGGTCCAAATATCCACTTGCAGACTTTACAAAGACAGTGTCTCCAAACTCCTCCATCAAAAGAAAGGTTATACTCTGTGAATTGAACAGCACACATCACAAAGTAGTTTCTGAGAATGATTCTGTCTAGTTTTTATACGAAGATATTTCCTTTTCTACATTTGGCCTAAAAGCGCTTGAAATCTCCACCTGCAAATATCACAAAAAGAGGGTTTCACATCTGCTCTGTCTAAAGGACAGTTCACCTCTGTGAGTTGAATAGAAGCAACACAAAGAACTTACTCAGTATTCTTCTTTCTAGCGTTCTATGAAGAAATCCCGTTTCCAACGAAGGCCCCAAAGAGGTCCAAATATCTGCTTGCAGAGTTTACAGACAGAGTGTTTCCAAACTACTCTATGAAAAGAAAGCTTAAACTCCTTGAGTTGAACGCACACATCACAAAGTAGTTTCTGAGAATGATTCTGTCTAGTTTTTATACGAAGATGTTTCCTTTACTACATTTGGTCTCAAAGCGATTGAAATCTCCTACTGGAAACTGCACAAATTGGCTGTTTCAAATCTGCTCTGTCTAAAGGAAGGTTCAACTCTGTGAGTTGAATACACACACCACAAATAAGTTACTGAGAATTCTTCTGTCGAACATTACAGGAAGAAATCCCGTTTCCAGCGAAGGCCTCAAAGAGGTCAAAATATCCACTTGCAGACATTACAAACAGAGTGTTTCCAAACTGCTCCATCAAAAGAAAGGTTAAACTCTGTGAGCTGAACACACACATCAAAAAGAAGTTTCTGTGAATGATTCTGTCTAGATTTTGTAAGAAGATGTTTCCTTTTCTACCGTAGGCCTCAAAGCGCTTGAAATCTCCAGCTGCAAATTCCACAAAAAGGGTGTTTAACATCTGCTCTTCTAAAGGAAAGTTCAACTCTATGCGTTGAATACACACAGGACAAAGAAGTTACTGAGACTTCTCCTATCAAACATTATATGAAGAAATCCCGTTTCCAACGAAGGCCTCAAAGAGGTCCAAATATCTGCTTGCAGACTTTACAGACAGAGTGTTTCCAAACTGCTCCATCAAAAGAAAGGTTAAACTCCTTGAGTTGAACACACACATCACAAAGTAGTTTCTGTGAATGATTCTGTCTAGTTTTTATACGAAGATGTTTCCTTTTCTACCTTTGGTCTCAAAGCGATTGAAATCTCCACATGGAAACTCCACAAAAAGAGTGTTTCAAATCTGCTCTTTCTGAAGGAAGGTTCATCTCTGTGAGTTGAATACACACACCACAAATAAGTTACTGAGAATTCTTCTGTGTAACATTATATGAGGAAATCCCGTTTCCAACGAAGGCCTCAAAGAGGTCCAAATATCCACTTGCAGACTTTACAAAGACAGTGTCTCCAAACTCCTCCATCAAAAGAAAGGTTATACTCTGTGAATTGAACGCACACATCACAAAGTAGTTTCTGAGAATGATTCTGTCTAGTTTTTATACGAAGATATTTCCTTTTCTACATTTGGCCTAAAAGCGCTTGAAATCTCCACCTGCAAATATCACAAAAAGAGGGTTTCACATCTGCTCTGTCTAAAGGACAGTTCACCTCTGTGAGTTGAATAGAGGCAACACAAAGAACTTACTCAGTATTCTTCTTTCTAGCGTTCTATGAAGAAATCCCGTTTCCAACGAAGGCCCCAAAGAAGGTCCAAATATCTGCTTGCAGACTTTACAGACAGAGTGTTTCCAAACTACTCTATGAAAAGAAAGCTTAAACTCCTTGAGTTGAACGCACACATCACAAAGTAGTTTCGGAGAATGATTCTGTCTAGTTTTTATACGAAGATGTTTCCTTTTCTACATTTGGTCTCAAAGCGATTGAAATCTCCAACTGGAAACTGCACAAATAGGGTGTTTCAAATCTGCTCTGTCTAAAGGAAGGTTCAACTCTGTGAGTTGAATACACACACCACAAATAAGTTACTGAGAATTCTTCTGTCGAACATTACTTGAAGAAATCCCGTTTCCAAAGAAGGCCTCAAAGAGGTCCAAATATCCACTTGCAGACATTACAAACAGAGTGTTTCCAAACTGCTCCATCAAAAGAAAGGTTAAACTCTGTGAGCTGAACACACACATCAAAAAGAAGTTTCTGTGAATGATTCTGTCTAGATTTTATAAGAAGATGTTTCCTTTTCTACCGTAGGCCTCAAAGCGCTTGAAATCTCCAGCTGCAAATTCCACAAAAAGGGTGTTTAACATCTGCTCTTCTAAAGGAAAGTTCAACTCTATGAGTTGAATACACACAGCACAAAGAAGTTACTGAGACTTCTCCTATCAAACATTATATGAAGAAATCCCGTTTCCAACGAAGGCCTCAAAGAGGTCCAAATATCTGCTTGCAGACTTTACAGACAGAGTGTTTCCAAACTGCTCCATCAAAAGAAAGGTTAAACTCCTTGAGTTGAACACACACATCACAAAGTAGTTTCTGTGAATGATTCTGTCTAGTTGTTATACGAAGATGTTTCCTTTTCTACCTTTGGTCTCAAAGCGATTGAAATCTCCGCATGGAAACTCCACAAAAAGAGTGTTTCAAATCTGCTCTTTCTGAAGGAAGGTTCATCTCTGTGAGTTGAATACACACACCACAAATAAGTTAGTGAGAATTCTTCTGTGTAACATTATATGAGGAAATCCCGTTTCCAACGAAGGCCTCAAAGAGGTCCAAATATCCACTTGCAGACTTTACAAAGACAGTGTCTCCAAACTCCTCCATCAAAAGAAAGGTTATACTCTGTGAATTGAACGCACACATCACAAAGTAGTTTCTGAGAATGATTCTGTCTAGTTTTTATACGAAGATATTTCCTTTTCTACATTTGGCCTAAAAGCGCTTGAAATCTCCACCTGCAAATATCCCAAAAAGAGGGTTTCACATCTGCTCTGTCTAAAGGACAGTTCACCTCTGTGAGTTGAATAGAGGCAACACAAAGAACTTACTCAGTATTCTTCTTTCTACCGTTCTATGAAGAAATCCCGTTTCCAACGAAGGCCTCAAAGAGGTCCAAATATCTGCTTGCAGACTTTACAGACAGAGTGTTTCCAAACTACTCTATGAAAAGAAAGCTTAAACTCCTTGAGTTGAACGCACACATCACAAAGTAGTTTCTGAGAATGATTCTGTCTAGTTTTTATACGAAGATGTTTCCTTTTCTACATTTGGTCTCAAAGCGATTGAAATCTCCAACTGGAAACTGCACAAATAGGGTGTTTCAAATCTGCTCTGTCTAAAGGAAGGTTCAACTCTGTGAGTTGAATACACACACCACAAATAAGTTACTGAGAATTCTTCTGTCGAACATAACTTGAAGAAATCCCGTTTCCAACGAAGGCCTCAAAGAGGTCCAAATATCCACTTGCAGATATTACAAACAGAGTGTTTCCAAACTGCTCCATCAAAAGAAAGGTTAAATCCTGTGAGCTGAACACACACATCAAAAAGAAGTTTCTGTGAATGATTCTGTCTAGATTTTATAAGAAGATGTTTCCTTTTCTACCGTAGGCCTCAAAGCGCTTGAAATCTCCAGCTGCAAATTCCACAAAAAGGGTGTTTAACATCTGCTCTTCTAAAGGAAAGTTCAACTCTATGAGTTGAATACACACAGCACAAAGAAGTTACTGAGACTTCTCCTATCAAACATTATATGAAGAAATCCCGTTTCCAACGAAGGGCCTCAAAGAGGTCCAAATATCTGCTTGCAGACTTTACAGACAGAGTGTTTCCAAACTGCTCCATCAAAAGAAAGGTTAAACTCCTTGAGTTGAACACACACATCACAAAGTAGTTTCTGTGAATGATTCTGTCTAGTTTTTATACGAAGATATTTCCTTTTCTACCTTTGGTCTCAAAGCGATTGAAATCTCCACATGGAAACTCCACAAAAAGAGTGTTTCACATCTGCTCTTTCTGAAGGAAGGTTCAACTCTGTGAGTTGAATACACACACCACAAATAAGTTACTGAGAATTCTTCTGTGTAACATTATATGAGGAAATCCCGTTTCCAACGAAGGCCTCAAAGAGGTCCAAATATCCACTTGCAGACTTTACAAAGACAGTGTCTCCAAACTCTTCCATCAAAAGAAAGGTTATACTCTGTGAATTGAATGCACACATCACAAAGTAGTTTCTGAGAATGATTCTGTCTAGTTTTTATACGAAGATATTTCCTTTTCTACATTTTGCCCAAAAGCGCTTGAAATCTCCACCTGCAAATATCACAAAAAGAGGGTTTCACATCTGCTCTGTCTAAAGGACAGTTCACCTCTGTGAGTTGAATAGAGGCAACACCAAGAACTTACTGAGTATTCTTCTTTCTAGCGTTACATGAAGAAGTCCCGTTTCCAACGAAGTCCTCAAAGAGGTCCAAATATCTGCTTGCAGACTTTACAGACAGAGTGTTTCCAAACTACTCTATGAAAAGAAAGCTTAAACTCCTTGAGTTGAATGCACACATCACAAAGTAGTTTCTGAGAATGATTCTGTCTAGTTTTTATACGAAGATGTTTCCTTTTCTACATTTGGTCTCAAAGCGATTGAAATCTCCAACTGGAAACTGCACAAATAGGGTGTTTCAAATCTGCTCTGTCTAAAGGAAGGTTCAACTCTTTGAGTTGAATACACACACCACAAATAAGTTACTGAGAATTCTTCTGTCGAACATTACTTGAAGAAATCCCGTTTCCAACGAAGGCCTCAAAGAGGTCCAAATATCGACTTGCAGACATTACAAACAGAGTGTTTCCAAACTGCTCCATCAAAAGAAAGGTTAAACTCTGTGAGCTGAACACACACATCTAAAAGAAGTTTCTGTGAATGATTCTGTCTGGATTTTATAAGAAGATGTTTCCTTTTCTACCGTAGGCCTCAAAGCGCTGGAAATCTCCAGCTGCAAATTCCACAAAAAGGGTGTTTAACATCTGCTCTTCTAAAGGAAAGTTCAACTCTATGCGTTGAATACACACAGCACAAAGAAGTTACTGAGACTTCTCCTATCAAACATTATATGAAGAAATCCCGTTTTCAACGAAGGCCTCAAAGAGGTCCAAATATCTGCTTGCAGACTTTACAGACAGAGTGTTTCCAAACTGCTCCATCAAAAGAAAGGTTAAACTCCTTGAGTTGAACACACACATCACAAAGTAGTTTCTGTGAATGATTCTGTCTAGTTTTTATACGAAGATGTTTCCTTTTCTACCTTTGGTCTCAATGCGATTGAAATCTCCACATGGAAACTCCACAAAAAGAGTGTTTCAAATCTGCTCTTTCTGAAGGAAGGTTCAACTCTGTGAGTTGAATACACACACCACAAATAAGTTACTGAGAATTCTTCTGTGTAACATTATATGAGGAAATCCCGTTTCAAACGAAGGCCTCAAAGAGATCCAAATATCCACTTGCAGAGTTTACAAAGAGAGTGTCTCCAAACTCCTCCATCAGAAGAAAGGTTATACTCTGTGAATTGAACGCACACATCACAAAGTAGTTTCTCAGAATGATTCTGTCTAGTTTTTATACGAAGATATTTCCTTTTCTACATTTGGCCTAAAAGCGCTTGAAATCTCCACCTGCAAATATCACAAAAAGAGGGTTTCACATCTGCTCTGTCTAAAGGACAGTTCACCTCTGTGAGTTGAATAGAGGCAACACAAAGAACTTACTCAGTATTCTTCTTTCTCGCGTTATATGAAGAAA
This sequence comes from Homo sapiens, assembly GCF_000001405.40. Lineage (NCBI taxonomy): Eukaryota > Metazoa > Chordata > Mammalia > Primates > Hominidae > Homo > Homo sapiens. The sequence continues at coordinate 36,767,241 of NC_000012.12, read as the reverse complement.
TCCCGTTTCCAACGAAGGCCTCAAAGAGGTCCAAATATCTGCTTGCAGACTTTACAGACAGAGTGTTTCCAAACTACTCTATGAAAAGAAAGCTTAAACTCCTTGAGTTGAACGCACACATCACAAAGTAGTTTCTGAGAATGATTCTGTCTAGTTTTTATACGAAGATGTTTCCTTTTCTACATTTGGTCTCAAAGCGATTGAAATCTCCAACTGGAAACTGCACAAATAGGGTGTTTCAAATCTGCTCTGTCTAAAGGAAGGTTCAACTCTGTGAGTTGAATACACACACCACAAATAAGTTACTGAGAATTCTTCTGTCGAAAATTACTTGAAGAAATCCCGTTTCCAACGAAGGCCTCAAAGAGGTCCAAATATCCACTTGCAGACATTACAAACAGAGTGTTTCCAAACTGCTCCATCAAAAGAAAGGTTAAACTCTGTGAGCTGAAAACACACATCAAAAAGAAGTTTCTGTGAATGATTCTGTCTAGATTTTATAAGAAGATGTTTCCTTTTCTACCGTAGGCCTCAAAGCGCTTGAAATCCTCCAGCTGCAAATTCCACAAAAAGGTTGTTTAACATCTGCTCTTCTAAAGGAAAGTTCAACTCTATGAGTTGAATACACACAGCACAAAGAAGTTACTGAGACTTCTCCTATCAAACATTATATGAAGAAATCCCGTTTCCAACGAAGGCCTCAAAGAGGTCCAAATATCTGCTTGCAGACTTTACAGACAGAGTGTTTCCAAACTGCTCCATCAAAAGAAAGGTTAAACTCCTTGAGTTGAACACACACATCACAAAGTAGTTTCTGTGAATGATTCTGTCTAGTTTTTATACGAAGATGTTTCCTTTTCTACCTTTGGTCTCAAAGTGATTGAAATCTCCACATGGAAACTCCACAAAAAGAGTGTTTCAAATCTGCTCTTTCTGAAGGAAGGTTCAAATCTGTGAGTTGAATACACACACCACAAATAAGTTACTGAGAATTCTTCTGTGTAACATTATATGAGGAAATCCCGTTTCCAACGAAGGCCTCAAAGAGGTCCAAATATCCACTTGCAGACTTTACAAAGACAGTGTCTCGAAACTCCTCCATCAAAAGAAAGGTTATACTCAGTGAATTGAGCGCACACATCAGAAAGTAGTTTCTGAGAATGCTGTCTAGTTTTTATACAAAGATATTTCCTTTTCTACATTTGGCCTAAAAGCGCTTGAAATCTCCACCTGCAAATATCACAAAAAGAGGGTTTCACATCTGCTCTGTCTAAAGGACAGTTCACCTCTGTGAGTTGAATAGAGGCAACACAAAGAACTTACTCAGTATTCTTCTTTCTAGCGTTATATGTTGAAATCCCGTTTCCAACGAAGGCCTCAAAGAGGTGCAAATATCTGCTTGCAGACTTTACAGACAGAGTGTTTCCAAACTACTCTATGAAAAGAAAGCTTAAACTCCTTGAGTTGAACGCACACATCACAAAGTAGTTTCTGAGAATGATTCTGTCTAGTTTTTATACGAAGATGTTTCCTTTTCTACATTTGGTCTCAAAGCGATTGAAATCTCCAACTGGATACTGCACAAATAGGGTGTTTCAAATCTGCTCTGTCTAAAGGAAGGTTCAACTCTGTGAGTTGAATACACACACCACAAATAAGTTACTGAGAATTCTTCTGTCGAACATTACTTGAAGAAATCCCGTTTCCAACGAAGGCCCCAAAGAGGTCCAAATATCCACTTGCAGATATTACAAACAGAGTGTTTCCAAACTGCTCCATCAAAAGAAAGGTTAAACTCGGTGAGCTGAACACACACATCAAAAAGAAGTTTCTGTGAATTATTCTGTCTAGATTTTATAAGAAGATGTTTCCTTTTCTACCGTAGGCCTCAAAGCGCTTGTAATCTCCAGCTGCAAATTCCACAAAAAGGGTGTTTAACATCTGCTCTTCTAAAGGAAAGTTCAACTCTATGAGTTGAATACACACAGCACAAAGAAGTTACTGAGACTTCTCCTATCAAACATTATATGAAGAAATCCCGTTTCCAACGAAGGCCTCAAAGAGGTCCAAATATCTGCTTGCAGACTTTACAGACAGAGTGTTTCCAAACTGCTCCATCAAAAGAAAGGTTAAACTCCTTGAGTTGAACACACACATCACAAAGTAGTTTCTGTGAATGATTCTGTCTAGTTTTTATACGAAGATGTTTCCTTTTCTACCTTTGGTCTCAAAGCGATTGAAATCTCCACATGAAACTCCACAAAAAGAGTGTTTCAAATCTGCTCTTTCTGAAGGAAGGTTCAACTCTGTGAGTTGAATACACACACCACAAATAAGTTACTGAGAATTCTTCTGGGTAACATTATATGAGGAAATCCCGTTTCCAACGAAGGCCTCAAAGAGGTCCAAATATCCACTTGCAGACTTTACAAAGACAGTGTCTCCAAACTCCTCCATCAAAAGAAAGGTTATACTCTGTGAATTGAACGCACACATCACAAAGTAGTTTCTGAGAATGATTCTGTCTAGTTTTTATACGAAGATATTTCCTTTTCTACATTTGGCCTAAAAGCGCTTGAAATCTCCAACCTGCAAATATCACAAAAAGAGGGTTTCACATCTGCTCTGTCTAAAGGACAGTTCACCTCTGTGAGTTGAATAGAGGCAACACAAAGAACTTACTCAGTATTCTTCTTTCTAGCGTTCTATGAAGAAATCCCGTTTCCAACGAAGGCCCCAAAGAGGTCCAAATATCTGCTTGCAGACTTTACAGACAGAGTGTTTCCAAACTACTCTATGAAAAGAAAGCTTAAACTCCTTGAGTTGAACGCACACATCACAAAGTAGTTTCTGAGAATGATTCTGTCTAGTTTTTATACGAAGATGTTTCCTTTTCTACATTTGGTCTCAAAGCGATTGAAATCTCCAACTGGAAACTGCACAAATAGGGTGTTTCAAATCTGCTCTGTCTAAAGGAAGGTTCAACTCTTTGAGTTGAATACACACACCACAAATAAGTTACTGAGAATTCTTCTGTCGAACATTACTTGAAGAAATACCGTTTCCAAAGAAGGCCTCAAAGAGGTCAAAATATCCACTTGCAGACATTACAAACAGAGTGTTTCAAAACTGCTCCATCAAAAGAAAGGTTAAACTCTGTGAGCTGAACACACACATGAAAAAGAAGTTTCTGTGAATGATTCTGTCTAGATTTTATAAGAAGATGTTTCCTTTTCTACCGTAGGCCTCAAAGCGCTTGAAATCTCCAGCTGCAAATTCCACAAAAAGGGTGTTTAACATCTGCTCTTCTAAAGGAAAGTTCAACTCTATGAGTTGAATACACACAGCACAAAGAAGTTACTGAGACTTCTCCTATCAAACATTATATGAAGAAATCCCGTTTCCAACGAAGGCCTCAAAGAGGTCCAAATATCTGCTTGCAGACTTTAAAGACAGAGTTTTTCCAAACTCCTCCATCAAAAGAAAGGTTAAACTCCTTGAGTTGAACACACACATCACAAAGTAGTTTCTGTGAATGATTCTGTCTAGTTTTTATACGAAGATGTTTCCTTTTCTACCTTTGGTCTCAAAGCGATTGAAATCTCCACATGGAAACTCCACAAAAAGAGTGTTTCAAATCTGCTCTTTCTGAAGGAAGGTTCAACTCTGTGAGTTGAATACACACACCACAAATAAGTTACTGAGAATTCTTCTGTGTAACATTATATGAGGAAATCCCGTTTCCAACGAAGGCCTCAAAGAGGTCCAAATATCCACTTGCAGACTTTACAAAGACAGTGTCTCCAAACTCCTCCATCAAAAGAAAGGTTATACTCTGTGAATTGAACGCACACATCACAAAGTAGTTTCTGAGAATGATTCTGTCTAGTTTTTATACGAAGATATTTCCTTTTCTACATTTGGCCTAAAAGCGCTTGAAATCTCCACCTGCAAATATCACAAAAAGAGGGTTTCACATCTGCTCTGTCTAAAGGACAGTTCACCTCTGTGAGTTGAATAGAGGCAACACAAAGAACTTACTCAGTATTCTTCTTTCTAGCGTTACATGAAGAAATCCCGTTTCCAACGAAGGCCTCAAAGAGGTCCAAATATCTGCTTGCAGACTTTACAGACAGAGTGTTTCCAAACTACTCTATGAAAAGAGAGCTTAAACTCCGTGAGTTGAACGCACACATCACAAAGTAGTTTCTGACAATGATTATCTGTCTAGTTTTTATACGAAGATGTTTCCTTTTCTACATTTGGTCTCAAAGCGATTGAAATCTCCAACTGGAAACTGCACAAATAGGGAGTTTGAAATCTGCTCTGTCTAAAGGAAGGTTCAACTCTGTGAGTTGAATACACACACCACAAATAAGTTACTGAGAATTCTTCTGTCGAACATTACTTGAAGAAATCCCGTTTCCAACGAAGGCCTCAAAGAGGTCCAAATATCCACTTGCAGACATTACAAACAGAGTGTTTCCAAACTGCTCCATCAAAAGAAAGGTTAAACTCTGTGAGCTAAACACACACATCGAAAAGAAGTTTCTGTGAATGATTCTGTCTAGATTTTATAAGAAGATGTTTCCTTTTCTACAGTAGGCCTCAAAGCGCTTGAAACCTCCAGCTGCAAATTCCCCAAAAAGGGTGTTTAACATCTGCTCTTCTAAAGGAAAGTTCAACTACTATGAGTTGAATACACACAGCACAAAGAAGTTACTGAGACTTCTCCTATCAAACATTATATGAAGAAATCCCGTTTCCAACGAGGGCCTCAAAGAGGTCCAAATATCTGCTTGCAGACTTTACAGACAGAGTGTTTCCAAACTGCTCCATCAAAAGAAAGGTTAAACTCCTTGAGTTGAACACACACATCACAAAGTAGTTTCTGTGAATGATTCTGTCTAGTTTTTATACGAAGATGTTTCCTTTTCTACCTTTGGTCTCAATGCGATTGAAATCTCCACATGGAAACTCCACAAAAAGAGTGTTTCAAATCTGCTCTTTCTGAAGGAAGGTTCAACTCTGTGAGTTGAATACACACACCACAAATAAGTTACTGAGAATTCTTCTGTGTAACATTATATGAGGAAATCCCGTTTCCAACGAAGGCCTCAAAGAGGTCCAAATATCCACTTGCAGACTTTACAAAGACAGTGTCTCCAAACTCCTCCATCAAAAGAAAGGTTATACTCTGTGAATTGAACGCACACATCACAAAGTAGTTTCTGAGAATGATTCTGTCTAGTTTTTATACGAAGATATTTCCTTTTCTACATTTGGCCTAAAAGCGCTTGAAATCTCCACCTGCAAATATCACAAAAAGAGGGTTTCACATCTGCTCTGTCTAAAGGACAGTTCACTTCTGTGAGTTGAATAGAGGCAACACAAAGAACTTACTCAGTATTCTTCTTTCTAGCGTTCTATGAAGAAATCCCGTTTCCAACGAAGGCCTCAAAGAGGTCAAATATCTGCTTGCAGACTTTACAGACAGAGTGTTTCCAAACTACTCTATGAAAAGAAAGCTTAAACTCCTTGAGTTGAACGCACACATCACAAAGTAGTTTCTGAGAATGATTCTGTCTAGTTTTTATACGAAGATGTTTCCTTTTCTACATTTGGTCTCAAAGCGATTGAAATCTCCAACTGGAAACTGCACAAATAGGGTGTTTCAAATCTGCTCTGTCTAAAGGAAGGTTCAACTCTGTGAGTTGAATACACACACCACAAATAAGTTACTGAGAATTCTTCTGTCGAACATTACAGGAAGAAATCCCGTTTCCAGCGAAGGCCTCAAAGAGGTCCAAATATCCACTTGCAGACATTACAAACAGAGTGTTTCCAAACTGCTCCATCAAAAGAAAGGTTAAACTCTGTGAGCTGAACACACACATCAAAAAGAAGTTTCTGTGAATGATTCTGTCTAGATTTTATAAGAAGATGTTTCCTTTTCTACCGTCGGCCTCAAAGCGCTTGAAATCTCCAGCTGCAAATTCCACAAAAAGGGTGTTTAACATCTGGTCTTCTAAAGGAAAGTTCAACTCTATGAGTTGAATACACACAGCACAAAGAAGTTACTGAGACTTCTCCTATCAAACATTATATGAAGAAATCCCGTTTCCAACGAAGGCCTCAAAGAGGTCCAAATATCTGCTTGCAGACTTTACAGACAGAGTGTTTCCAAACTGCTCCATCAAAAGAAAGGTTAAACTCCTTGAGTTGAACACACACATCACAAAGTAGTTTCTGTGAATGATTCTGTCTAGTTTTTATACGAAGATGTTTCCTTTTCTACCTTTGGTCTCAAAGCGATTGAAATCTCCACATGGAAACTCCACAAAAAGAGTGTTTCAAATCTGCTCTTTCTGAAGGAAGGTTCACCTCTGTGAGTTGAATAAACACACCACAAATAAGTTACTGAGAATTCTTCTGTGTAACATTATATGAGGAAATCCCGTTTCCAACGAAGGCCTCAAAGAGGTCCAAATATCCACTTGCAGACTTTACAAAGACAGTGTCTCCAAACTCCTCCATCAAAAGAAAGGTTATACTCTGTGAATTGAACGCACACATCACAAAGTAGTTTCTGAGAATGATTCTGTCTAGTTTTTATACGAAGATATTTCCTTTTATACATTTGGCCTAAAAGCGCTTGAAATCTCCACCTGCAAATATCACAAAAAGAGGGTTTCACATCTGCTCTGTCTAAAGGACAGTTCACCTCTGTGAGTTGAATAGAGGCAACACAAAGAACTTACTCAGTATTCTTCTTTCTAGCGTTCAATGAAGAAATCCCGTTTCCAACTAAGGCCCCAATGAGGTCCAAATATCTGCTTGCAGACTTTACAGACAGAGTGTTTCCAAACTACTCTATGAAAAGAAAGCTTAAACTCCTTGAGTTGAACGCACACATCACAAAGTAGTTTCTGAGAATGATTCTGTCTAGTTTTTATACGAAGATGTTTCCTTTTCTACTTTTGGTCTCAAAGCGATTGAAATCTCCAACTGGAAACTGCACAAATAGGGTGTTTCAAATCTGCTCTGTCTAAAGGAAGGTTCAACTCTGTGAGTTGAATACACACACCACAAATAAGTTACAGAGAATTCTTCTGTCGAACATTACTTGAAGAAATCCCGTTTCCAACGAAGGCCTCAAAGAGGTCCAAATATCCACTTGCAGACATTACAAACAGAGTGTTTCCAAACTGCTCCATCAAAAGAAAGGTTAAACTCTGTGAGCTGAACACACACATCGAAAAGAAGTTTCTGTGAATGATTCTGTCTAGATTTTATAAGAAGATGTTTCCTTTTCTACCGTAGGCCTCAAAGCGCTTGAAATCTCCAGCTGCAAATTACACAAAAAGGGTGTTTAACATCTGCTCTTCTAAAGGAAAGTTCAACTCTATGAGTTCAATACACACAGCACAAAGAAGTTACTGAGACTTCTCCTATCAAACATTATATGAAGAAATCCCGTTTCCAACGAAGGCCTCAAAGAGGTCCAAATATCTGCTTGCAGACTTTACAGACAGAGTTTTTCCAAACCGCTCCATCAAAAGAAAGGTTAACCTCCTTGAGTTGAACACACACATCACAAAGTAGTTTCTGTGAATGATTCTGTCTAGTTTTTATACGAAGATGTTTCCTTTTCTACCTTTGGTCTCAAAGCGATTGAAATCTCCACATGGAAACTCCACAAAAAGAGTGTTTCAAATCTGCTCTTTCTGAAGGAAGGTTCAACTCTGTGAGTTGAATACACACACCACAAATAAGTTACTGAGAATTCTTCTGTGTAACATTATATGAGGAAATCCCGTTTCCAACGAAGGCCTCAAAGAGATCCAAATATCCACTTGCAGACTTTACAAAGACAGTGTCTCCAAACTCCTCCATCAAAAGAAAGGTTATACTCTGTGAATTGAACGCACACATCACAAAGTAGTTTCTGAGAATGATTCTGTCTAGTTTTTATACGAAGATATTTCCTTTTCTACATTTGGCCTAAAATCGCTTGAAATCTCCACCTGCAAATATCACAAAAAGAGGGTTTCACATCTGCTCTGTCTAAAGGACAGTTCACCTCTGTGAGTTGAATAGAGGCAACACAAAGAACTTACTCAGTATTCTTCTTTCTAGCGTTCTATGAAGAAATCCCGTTTCCAACGAAGGCCCCAAAGAGGTCCAAATATCTGCTTGCAGTCTTTACAGACAGAGTGTTTCCAAACTACTCTATGAAAAGAAAGCTTAAACTCCTTGAGTTGAACGCACACATTACAAAGTAGTTTCTGAGAATGATTCTGTCTAGTTTTTATACGAAGATGTTTCCTTTTCTACATTTGGTCTCAAAGCGATTGAAATCTCCAACTGGAAACTGCACAAATAGGGAGTTTCAAATCTGCTCTGTCTAAAGGAAGGTTCAACTCTGTGAGTTGAATACACACACCACAAATAAGTTACTGAGAATTCTTCTGTCGAACATTACATGAAGAAATCCCGTTTCCAACGAAGGCCTCAAAGAGGTCCAAATATCCACTTGCAGACATTACAAACAGTGTGTTTCCAAACTGCTCCATCAAAAGAAAGGTTAAACTCTGTGAGCTGAACACACACATCAAAAAGAAGTTTCTGTGAATGATTATCTGTCTATATTTTATAAGAAGAAGTTTCCTTTTCTACCGTAGGCCTCAAAGCGCTTGAAATCTCCAGCAGCAAATTCCACAAAAAGGGTGTTTAACATCTGCTCTTCTAAAGGAAAGTTCAACTCTATGAGTTGAATACACACAGCACAAAGAAGTTACTGAGACTTCTCCTATCAAACATTATATGAAGAAATCCCGTTTACAACGAAGGCCTCAAAGAGGTCCAAATATCTCCTTGCAGACTTTACAGACAGAGTGTTTCCAAACTGCTCCATCAAAAGAAAGGTTAACCTCCTTGAGTTGAACACACACATCACCAAGTAGTTTCTGTGAATGATTCTGTCTAGTTTTTATACGAAGATGTTTCCTTTTCTACCTTTGGTCTCAAAGCGATTGAAATCTCCACATGGAAACTCCACAAAAAGAGTGTTTCAAATCTACTCTTTCTGAAGGAAGGTTCAACTCTGTGAGTTGAATACACACATCACAAATAAGTTAATGAGAATTCTTCTGTGTAACATTATATGAGGAAATCCCGTTTCCAACGAAGGCCTCAAAGAGGTCCAAATATTCACATGCAGACTTTACAAAGACAGTGTCTCCAAACTCCTCCATCAAAAGAAAGGTTATACTCTGTGAATTGAACGCACACATCACAAAGTAGTTTCTGAGAATGATTCTGTCTAGTTTTTATACGAAGATATTTCCTTTTCTACATTTGGCCTAAAAGCGCTTGAAATCTCCACCTGCAAATATCACAAAAAGAGGGTTTCACATCTGCTCTGTCTAAAGGACAGTTCACCTCTGTGAGTTGAATAGAGGCAACACAAAGAAGTTACTGAGTATTCTTCTTTCTAGCGTTCTATGAAGAAATCCCGTTTCCAAAGAAGGCCTCAAAGAGGTCCAAATATCTGCTTGCAGACTTTACAGAGTGTTTCCAAACTACTCTATGAAAAGAAAGCTTAAACTCCTTGAGTTGAACGCACACATCACAAAGTAGTTTCTGAGAATGATTCTGTCTAGTTTTTATACGAAGATGTTTCCTTTTCTACATTTCGTCTCAAAGCGATTGAAATCTCCAACTGGAAACTGCACAAATAGGGTGTTTCAAATCTGCTCTGTCTAAAGGAAGGTTCAACCCTGTGAGTTGAATACACACACCACAAATAAGTTACTGAGAATTCTTCTGTCGAACATTACATGAAGAAATCCCGTTTCCAACGAAGGCCTCAAAGAGGTCCAAATATCCACTTGCAGACATTACAGAGTGTTTCCAAACTGCTCCATCAAAAGAAAGGTTAAACTCTGTGAGCTGAACACACACATCAAAAAGAAGTTCCTGTGAATGATTCTGTCTAGATTTTATAAAAAGATGTTTCCTTTTCTACCGTAGGCCACAAAGCGCTGGAAATCTCCAGCTGCAAATTCCACAAAAAGGGTGTTTAACATCTGCTCTTCTAAAGGAAAGTTCAACTCTATGCGTTGAATACACACAGCACAAAGAAGTTACTGAGACTTCTCCTATCAAACATTATATGAAGAAATCCCGTTTCCAACGAAGGCCTCAAAGAGGTCCAAATATCTGCTTGCAGACTTTACAGACAGAGTGTTTCCAAACTGCTCCATCAAAAGAAAGGTTAAACTCCTTGAGTTGAACACACACATCACAAAGTAGTTTCTGTGAATGATTCTGTCTAGTTTTTATACGAAGATGTTTCCTTTTCTACCTTTGGTCTCAATGCGATTGAAATCTCCACATGGAAACTCCACAAAAAGAGTGTTTCAAATCTGCTCTTTCTGAAGGAAGGTTCAACTCTGTGAGTTGAATACACACACCACAAATAAGTTACTGAGAATTCTTCTGGGTAACATTATATGAGGAAATCCCGTTTCCAACGAAGGCCTCAAAGAGGTCCAAATATCCACTTGCAGACTTTACAAAGACAGTGTCTCCAAACTCCTCCATCAAAAGAAAGGTTATACTCTGTGAATTGAACGCACACATCACAAAGTAGTTTCTGAGAATGATTCTGTCTAGTTTTTATACGAGGATATTTCCTTTTCTACATTTGGCCTAAAAGCGCTTGAAATCTCCACCTGCAAATATCACAAAAAGAGGGTTTCACATCTGCTCTGTCTAAAGGACAGTTCACCTCTGTGAGTTGAATAGAGGCAACACAAAGAACTTACTCAGTATTCTTCTTTCTACCGTTCTATGAAGAAATCCCGTTTCCAACGAAGGCCTCAAAGAGGTCCAAATATCTGCTTGCAGACTTTACAGACAGAGTGTTTCCAAACTACTCTATGAAAAGAAAGCTTAAACTCCTTGAGTTGAACGCACACATCACAAAGTAGTTTCTGAGAATGATTCTGTCTAGTTTTTATACGAAGATGTTTCCTTTTCTACATTTGGTCTCAAAGCGATTGAAATCTCCAACTGGAAACTGCACAAATAGGGTGTTTCAAATCTGCTCTGTCTAAAGGAAGGTTCAACTCTGTGAGTTGAATACACACACCACAAATAAGTTACTGAGAATTCTTCTTTCGAACACTACTTGAAGAAATCCCGTTTCCAACGAAGGCCTCAAAGAGGTCCAAATATCCACTTGCAGACATTACAAACAGAGTGTTTCCAAACTGCTCCATCAAAAGAAAGGTTATACTCTGTGAATTGAACGCACACATCACAAAGTAGTTTCTGAGAATGATTTCTGTCTAGATTTTATAAGAAGATGTTTCCTTTTCTACCGTAGGCCTCAAAGCGCTTGAAATCTCCAGCTGCAAATTCCACAAAAATGGTGTTTAACATCTACTCTTCTAAAGGAAAGTCCAACTCTATGAGTTGAATACACACAGCAAAAAGAAGTTACTGAGACTTCTCCTATCAAACATTATATGAAGCAATCCCGTTTCCAACGAAGGCCTCAAAGAGGTCCAAATATCTGCTTGCAGACTTTACAGACAGAGTGTTTCCCAACTGCTCCATCAAAAGAAAGGTTAACCTCCTTGAGTTGAACACACACATCACAAAGTAGTTTCTGTGAATGATTCTGTCTAGTTTTTATACGAAGATGTTTCCTTTTCTACCTTTGGCCTAAAAGCGCTTGAAATCTCCACCTGCAAATATCACAAAAAGAGGGTTTCACATCTGCTCTGTCTAAAGGACAGTTCACCTCTGTGAGTTGAATAGAGACAACACAAAGAACTTACTCAGTATTCTTCTTTCTAGCGTTCTATGAAGAAATCCCGTTTCCAACGAAGGCCTCAAAGAGGTCTAAATATCTGCTTGCAGACTTTACAGACAGAGTGTTTCCAAACTACTCTATGAAAAGAAAGCTTAAACTCCTTGAGTTAAACGCACACATCACAAAGTAGTTTCTGAGAATGATTCTGTCTAGTTTTTATACGAAGATGTTTCCTTTTCTACATTTGGTCTCAAAGCGATTGAAATCTCCAACTGGAAACTGCACAAATAGGGTGTTTCAAATCTGCTCTGTCTAAAGGAAGGTTCAACTCTTTGAGTTGAATACACAAACCACAAATAAGTTACTGAGAATTCTTCTGTCGAACATTACATGAAGAAATCCCGTTTCCAACGAAGACCTCAAAGAGGTCCAAATATCCACTTGCAGACATTACAAACAGTGTGTTTCCAAACTGCTCCAACAAAAGAAAGGTTAAACACTGTGAGCTGAACACACACATCAAAAAGAAGTTTCTGTGAATGATTCTGTCTAGATTTTATAAGAAGATGTTTCCTTTTCTACCGTAGGCCTCAAAGCGCTTGAAATCTCCAGCTGCAAATTCCACAAAAAGGGTGTTTAACATCTGCTCTTCTAAAGGAAAGTTCAACTCTATGAGTTGAATACACACAGCACAAAGAAGTTACTGAGACTTCTCCTATCAAACATTATATGAAGAAATCCCGTTTCCAACGAAGGCCTCAAAGAGGTCCAAATATCTGCTTGCAGACTTTACAGACAGAGTGTTTCCAAACTGCTCCATCAAAAGAAAGGTTAAACTCCTTGAGTTGAACACACACATCACAAAGTAGTTTCTGTGAATGATTCTGTCTAGTTGTTATACGAAGATGTTTCCTTTTCTACCTTTGGTCTCAAAGCGATTGAAATCTCCACATGGAAACTCCACAAAAAGAGTGTTTCAAATCTGCTCTTTCTGAAGGAAGGTTCATCTCTGTGAGTTGAATACACACACCACAAATAAGTTACTGAGAATTCTCCTATCAAACATTATATGAAGAAATCCCGTTTCCAACGATGGCCTCAAAGAGGTCCAAATATCTGCTTGCAGACTTTACAAAGACAGTGTCTCCAAACTCCTCCATCAAAAGAAAGGTTATACTCTGTGAATTGAACGCACACATCACAAAGTAGTTTCTGAGAATGATTCTGTCTAGTTTTTATACGAAGATATTTCCTTTTCTACATTTGGCCTAAAAGCGCTTGAAATCTCCACCTGCAAATATCACAAAAAGGTTGTTTCACATCTGCTCTGTCTAAAGGACAGTTCACCTCTGTGAGTTGAATAGAGGCAACACAAAGAACTTCCTCAGTATTCTTCTTTCTAGCGTTCTATGAAGAAATCCCGTTTCCAACGAAGGCCCCAAAGAGGTCCAAATATCTGCTTGCAGACTTTACAGACAGAGTGTTTCCAAACTACTCTATGAAAAGAAAGCTTAAACTCCTTGAGTTGAACGCACACATCACAAAGTAGTTTCTGAGAATGATTCTGTCTAGTTTTTATACGAAGATGTTTCCTTTTCTACATTTGGTCTCAAAGCGATTGAAATCTCCAACTGGAAACTGCACAAATAGGGTGTTTCAAATCTGCTCTGTCTAAAGGAAGGTTCACCTCTGTGAGTTGAATACACACACCACAAATAAGTTACTGAGAATTCTCCTATCAAACATTATATGAAGAAATCCCGTTTCCAACGAAGGCCTCAAAGAGGTCCAAATATCCACTTGCAGACATTACAAACAGTGTGTTTCCAAACTGCTCCATCAAAAGAAAGGTTAAACTCTGTGAGCTGAACACACACATCAAAAAGAATTTTCTGTGAATGATTCTGTCTAGATTTTATAAGAAGATGTTTCTTTTTCTACCGTAGGCATCAAAGCGCTTGAAATCTCCAGCTGCAAATTCCACAAAAAGGGTGTTTAACATCTGCTCTTCTAAAGGAAAGTTCAACTCTATGAGTTGAATACACACAGCACAAAGAAGTTACTGAGACTTCTCCTATCAAACATTATATGAAGAAATCCCGTTTCCAACGAAGGCCTCAAAGAGGTCCAAATATCTACTTGCAGACTTTACAGACAGAGTGTTTCCAAACTGCTCCATCAAAAGAAAGGTTAAACTCCTTGAGTTGAACACACACATCACAAAGTAGTTTCTGTGAATGATTCTGTCTAGTTTTTATACGAAGATGTTTCCTTTTCTACCTTTGGTCTCAAAGCGATTGAAATCTCCACATGGAAACTCCACAAAAAGAGTGTTTCAAATCTGCTCATTCTGAAGGAAGGTTCAACTCTGTGAGTTGAATACACACACCACAAATAAGTTACTGAGAATTCTTCTGGGTAACATTATATGAGGAAATCCCGTTTCCAACGAAGGCCTCAAAGAGGTCCAAATATCCACTTGCAGACTTTACAAAGACAGTGTCTCCAAACTCCTCCATCAAAAGAAAGGTTATACTCTGTGAATTGAACGCACACATCACAAAGTAGTTTCTGAGAATGATTCTGTCTAGTTTTTATACGAAGATATTTCCTTTTCTACATTTGGCCTAAAAGCGCTTGAAATCTCCACCTGCAAATATCACAAAAAGAGGGTTTCACATCTGCTCTGTCTAAAGGACAGTTCACCTCTGTGAGTTGAATAGAGGCAACACAAAGAACTTACTCAGTATTCTTCTTTCTAGCCTTCTATGAAGAAATCCTGTTTCCAACGAAGGCCCCAAAGAGGTCCAAATATCTGCTTGCAGACTTTACAGACAGAGTGTTTCCAAACTACTCTATGAAAAGAAAGCTTAAACTCCTTGAGTTGAACGCACACATCACAAAGTAGTTTCTGAGAATGATTCTGTCTAGTTTTTATACGAAGATGTTTCCTTTTCTACATTTGGTCTCAAAGCGATTGAAATCTCCAACTGGAAACTGCACAAATAGGGTGTTTCAAATCTGCTCTGTCTAAAGGAAGGTTCAACTCTGTGAGTTGAATACACACACCACAAATAAGTTACTGAGAATTCTTCTGTCGAATATTACATGAAGAAATCCCGTTTCCAACGAAGGCCTCAAAGAGGTCCCAATATCCACTTGCAGACATTACAAACAGAGTGTTTCCAAACTGCTCCATCAAAAGAAAGGTTAAACTCTGTGAGCTGAACACACACATCAAAAAGAAGTTTCTGTGAATGATTCTGTCTAGATTTTATAAGAAGATGTTTCCTTTTCTACCGTAGGCCTCAAAGCGCTTGAAATCTCCAGCTGCAAATTCCACAAAAAGGGTGTTTAACATCTGCTCTTCTAAAGGAAAGTTCAACTCTATGAGTTGAATACACACAGCACAAAGAAGTTACTGAGACTTCTCCTATCAAACATTATATGAAGAAATCCCGTTTCCAACGAAGGCCTCAAAGAGGTCCAAATATCTGCTTGCAGACTTTACAGACAGAGTGTTTCCAAACTGCTCCATCAAAAGAAAGGTTAACCTCCTTGAGTTGAACACACACATCACAAAGTAGTTTCTGTGAATGATTCTGTCTAGTTTTTATACGAAGATGTTTCCTTTTCTACCTTTGGTCTCAAAGCGATTGAAATCTCCACATGGAAACTCCACAAAAAGAGTGTTTCAAATCTGCTCTTTCTGAAGGAAGGTTCAACTCTGTGAGTTGAATACACACACCACAAATAAGTTACTGAGAATTCTTCTGTCGAACATTACTTGAAGAAATCCCGTTTCCAACGAAGGCCTCAAAGAGGTCCAAATATCCACTTGCAGACTTTACAAAGACAGTGTCTCCAAACTCCTCCATCAAAAGAAAGGTTATACTCTGTGAATTGAACGCACACATCACAAAGTAGTTTCTGAGAATGATTCTGTCTAGTTTTTATACGAAGATATTTCCTTTTCTACATTTGGCCTAAAAGCGCTTGAAATCTCCACCTGCAAATATCACAAAAAGAGGGTTTCACATCTGCTCTGTCTAAAGGACAGTTCACCTCTGTGAGTTGAATAGAGGCAACACAAAGAACTTACTCAGTATTCTTCTTTCTACCGTTCTATGAAGAAATCCCGTTTCCAACGAAGGCCTCAAAGAGGTCCAAATATCTGCTTGCAGACTTTACAGACAGAGTGTTTCCAAACTACTCTATGAAAAGAAAGCTTAAACTCCTTGAGTTGAACGCACACATCACAAAGTAGTTTCTGAGAATGATTCTGTCTAGTTTTTATACGAAGATGTTTCCTTTTCTACATTTGGTCTCAAAGCGATTGAAATCTCCAACTGGAAACTGCACAAATAGGGTGTTTCAAATCTGCTCTGTCTAAAGGAAGGTTCAACTCTGTGAGTTGAATACACACACCACAAATAAGTTACTGAGAATTCTTCTGTCGACCATTACTTGAAGAAATCCCGTTTCCAACGAAGGCCTCAAAGAGGTCCAAATATCCACTTGCAGACATTACAAACAGAGTGTTTCCAAACTGCTCCTTCAAAAGAAAGGTTAAACTCTGTGAGCTGAACACACACATCGAAAAGAAGTTTCTGTGAATGATTCTGTCTAGATTTTATAAGAAGATGTTTCCTTTTCTACCGTAGGCCTCAAAGCGCTTGAAATCTCCAGCTGCAAATTCCACAAAAAGGGTGTTTAACATCTGGTCTTCTAAAGGAAATTTCAACTCTATGAGTTGAATACACACAGCACAAAGAAGTTACTGAGATTTCTCCTATCAAACATTATATGAAGAAATCCCGTTTCCAAAGAAGGCCTCAAAGAGGTGCAAATATCTGCTTGCAGACTTTACAGACAGAGTTTTTCCAAACTGCTCCATCAAAAGAAAGGTTAACCTCCTTGAGTTGAACACAGACATCACAAAGTAGTTTCTGAGAATGATTCTGTCTAGTTTTTATACGAAGATGTTTCCTTTTCTACCTTTGGTCTCAATGCGATTGAAATCTCCACATGGAAACTCCACAAAAAGAGTGTTTCAAATCTGCTCTTTCTGAAGGAAGGTTCAACTCTGTGAGTTGAATACACACACCACAAATAAGTTACTGAGAATTCTTCTGTGTAACATTATATGAGGAAATCCCGTTTCCAACGAAGGCCTCAAAGAGGTCCAAATATCCACTTGCAGACTTTACAAAGACAGTGTCTTCAAACTCCTCCATCAAAAGAAAGGTTATACTCTGTGAATTGAATGCACACATCACAAAGTAGTTTCTGAGAATGATTCTGTCTAGTTTTTATACGAAGATATTTCCTTTTCTACATGTGGCCTAAAAGCGCTTGAAATCTCCACCTGCAAATATCACAAAAAGAGGGTTTCACATCTGCTCTGTCTAAAGGACAGTTCACCTCTGTGAGTTGAGTAGAGGCAACACAAAGAACTTACTCAGTATTCTTCTTTCTAGCGTTCTATGAAGAAATCCCGTTTCCAACGAAGGCCTCAAAGAGGTCCAAATATCTGCTTGCAGACTTTACAGACAGAGTGTTTCCAAACTACTCTATGAAAAGAAAGCTTAAACTCCTTGAGTTGAATGCACACATCACAAAGTAGTTTCTGAGAATGATTCTGTCTAGTTTTTATACGAAGATGTTTCCTTTTCTACATTTGGTCTCAAAGCGATTGAAATCTCCAACTGGAAACTGCACAAATAGGGTGTTTCAAATCTGCTCTGTCTAAAGGAAGGTTCAACTCTGTGAGTTGAATACACACACCACAAATAAGTTACTGAGAATTCTTCTGTCGAACATTACATGAAGAAATCCCGTTTCCAACGAAGGCCTCAAACAGGTCCAAATATCCACTTGCAGACTTTACAAACAGTGTGTTTCCAAACTGCTCCATCAAAAGAAAGGTTAAACTCTGTGAGCTGAACACACACATCAAAAAGAAGTTTCTGTGAATGATTCTGTCTAGATTTTATACGAAGATGTTTCCTTTTCTACCATAGGCCTCAAAGCGCTAGAAATCTCCAGCTGCAAATTCCACAAAAAGTGTGTTTATCATCCGCTCTGTCTAAAGTAAAGTTCAGCTCTGTGAGTTGAATACACACAGCACAAAGAAGTTACTGAGACTTCTTCTGTCTAACATTATATGAAGAAATCCCGTTTCCAACGAAGGCCTCAAAGAGGTCCAAATATCCACTTGCAGACTTGTCAAACGGAGTGTTTCCAAACTGCACCATCAAAAGAAAGGTTAAACTCTGTGAGCTGAACACACACATTACAAAGCAGTTTCTGTGAATGATTCTGTCTAGTTTTTATACGAAGATGTTTCCTTTTCTACCTTTGGTCTCAAAGCGATTGAAATCTCCACATGGAAACTCCACAAAAAGAGTGTTTCAAATCTGCTCTTTCTGAAGGAAGGTTCATCTCTGTGAGTTGAATACACACACCACAAATAAGTTACTGAGAATTCTCCTATCAAACATTATATGAAGAAATCCCGTTTCCAACGAAGGCCTCAAAGAGGTCCAAATATCTGCTTGCAGACTTTACAAAGACAGTGTCTCCAAACTCCTCCATCAAAAGAAAGGTTATACTCTGTGAATTGAACGCACACATCACAAAGTAGTTTCTGAGAATGATTCTGTCTAGTTTTTATACAAAGATATTTCCTTTTCTACATTTGGCCTAAAAGCGCTTGAAATCTCCACCTGCAAATATCACAAAAAGAGGGTTTCACATCTGCTCTGTCTAAAGGACAGTTCACCTCTGTGAGTTGAATAGAGGCAACACAAAGAACTTACTCAGTATTCTTCTTTCTAGCGTTCTATGAAGAAATCCCGTTTCCAACGAAGGCCCCAAAGAGGTCCAAATATCTGCTTGCAGACTTTACAGACAGAGTGTTTCCAAACTACTCTATGAAAAGAAAGGTTAAACTCCTTGAGTTGAACGCACACATCACAAAGTAGATTCTGAGAATGATTTCTGTCTAGTTTTTATACGAAGATGTTTCCTTTTCTACATTTGGTCTCAAAGCGATTGAAATCTCCAACTGGAAACTGCACAAATAGGGTGTTTCAAATCTGCTCTGTCTAAAGGAAGGTTCAACTCTGTGAGTTGAATACACACAGCACAAATAAGTTACTGAGAATTCTTCTGTCTAACATTATATGAAGAAATCCAGTTTCCAACGAAGGCCTCAAAGAGGTCCAAATATCCACTTGCAGACTTGTCAAACAGAGTGTTTCCAAACTGCACCATCAAAAGATAGGTTAAACTCTGTGAGCTGAACACACACAACACAAAGTAGTTTCTGTGAATGATTCTGTCAAGATTTTATAAGATGTTTCCATTTCTACCGTAGGACTCAAAGCGCTTGAAATCTCCAGCTGCAAATTCCACAAAAAGGGTGTTTAACATCTGCTCTTCTAAAGGAAAGTTCAACTCTATGAGTTGAATACACACAGCACAAAGAAGTTACTGAGACTTCTCCTATCAAACATTATATGAAGAAATCCCGTTTCCAACGAAGGCCCCAAAGAGGTCCAAATATCTGCTTGCAGACTTTACAGACAGAGTTTTTCCAAACAGCTCCATCAAAAGAAAGGTTAAACTCCTTGAGTTGAACACACACATCACAAAGTAGTTTACTGTGAATGATTCTGTCTAGTTTTTATACGAAGATGTTTCCTTTTCTACCTTTGGTCTCAAAGCGATTGAAATCTCCACATGGAAACTCCACAAAAAGAGTGTTTCAAATCTGCTCTTTCTGAAGGAAGGTTCAACTCTGTGAGTTGAATACACACACCACAAATAAGTTACTGAGAATTCTTCTGTGTAACATTATATGAGGAAATCCCGTTTCCAACGAAGGCCTCAAAGAGGTCCAAATATCCACTTGCAGACTTTAAAAAGACAGTGTCTCGAAACTCCTCCATCAAAAGAAAGGTTATACTCTGTGAATTGAACGCACACATCACAAAGTAGTTTCTGAGAATGATTTCTGTCTAGTTTTTATACGAAGATATTTCCTTTTCTACATTTGGCCTAAAAGCGCTTGAAATCTCCACCTGCAAATATCACAAAAAGAGGGTTTCACATCTGCTCTGTCTAAAGGACAGTTCACCTCTGTGAGTTGAATAGAGGCAACACAAAGAACTTACTCAGTATTCTTCTTTCTAGCGTTCTATGAAGAAATCCCGTTTCCAACGAAGGCCCCAAAGAGGTCCAAATATCTGCTTGCAGACTTTACAGACAGAGTGTTTCCAAACTACTCTATGAAAAGAAAGCTTAAACTCCTTGAGTTGAACGCACACATCACAAAGTAGTTTCTGAGAATGATTCTGTCTAGTTTTTATACGAAGATGTTTCCTTTTCTACATTTGTTCTCAAAGCGTTTGAAATCTCCAAATGGAAACTGCACAAATAGGGTGTTTCAAATCTGCTCTGTCTAAAGGAAGGTTCAACTCTGTGAGTTGAATACACACACCACAAATAAGTTGCTGAGAATTCTTCTGTCGAACATTACATGAAGAAATCCCGTTTCCAACGAAGGCCTCAAAGAGGTCCAAATATCCACTTGCAGACATTACAAACAGAGTGTTTCCAAACTGCTCCATCAAAAGAAAGGTTAAACTCTGTGAGCTGAACACACACATCAAAAAGAAGTTTCTGTGAATGATTCTGTCTAGATTTTATAAGAAGATGTTTCCTTTTCTACCGTAGGCCTCAAAGCGCTTGAAATCTCCAGCTGCAAATTCCACAAAAAGGGTGTTTAACATCTGCTCTTCTAAAGGAAAGTTCAACTCTATGAGTTGAATACACACAGCACAAAGAAGTTACTGAGACTTCTCCTATCAAACATTATATGAAGAAATCCCATTTCCAACGAAGGCCTCAAAGAGGTCCAAATATCTGCTTGCAGACTTTACAGACAGAGTGTTTCCAAACTGCTCCATCAAAAGAAAGGTTAAACTCCTTGAGTTGAACACACACATCACAAAGTAGTTTCTGTGAATGATTCTGTCTAGTTTTTATACAAAGATGTTTCCTTTTCTACCTTTGGTCTCAAAGCGATTGAAATCTCCACATGGAAACTCCACAAAAAGAGTGTTTCAAATCTGCTCTTTCTGAAGGAAGGTTCAACTCTGTGAGTTGAATACACACACCACAAATAAGTTACTGAGAATTCTTCTGTGTAACATTATATGAGGAAATCCCGTTTCCAACGAAGGCCTCAAAGAGGTCCAAATATCCACTTGCAGACTTTACAAAGACAGTGTCTCCAAACTCCTCCATCAAAAGAAAGGTTATACTCTGTGAATTGAACGCACACATCACAAAGTAGTTTCTGAGAATGATTCTGTCTAGTTTTTATATGAAGATATTTCCTTTTCTACATTTGGCCTAAAAGCGCTTCAAATCTCCACCTGCAAATATCACAAAAAGAGGGTTTCACATCTGCTCTGTCTAAAGGACAGTTCACCTCTGTGAGTTGAATAGAGGCAACACAAAGAACTTACTCAGTATTCTTCTTTCTAGCATTATATGAAGAAATCCCGTTTCCAACGAAGGCCTCAAAGAGGTCCAAATATCTGCTTGCAGACTTTACAGACAGAGTGTTTCCAAACTACTCTATGAAAAGAAAGCTTAAACTCCTTGAGTTGAACGCACACATCACAAAGTAGTTTCTGAGAATTATTCTGTCTAGTTTTTATACGAAGATGTTTCCTTTTCTACATTTGGTCACAAAGCGATTGAAATCTCCAACTGGAAACTGCACAAATAGGGTGTTTCAAATCTGCTCTGTCTAAAGGAAGGTTCAACTCTGTGAGTTGAATACACACACCACAAATAAGTTACTGAGAATTCTTCTGTCGAACATTACAGGAAGAAATCCCGTTTCCAACGAAGGCCTGAAAGAGGTCCAAATATCCACTTGCAGACATTACAAACAGTGTGTTTCCAAACTGCTCCATCAAAAGAAAGGTTAAACTCTGTGAGATGAACACACACATTAGAAAGCAGTTTCTGTGAATGATTCTGTCTAGATTTTATAAGAAGATGTTTCCTTTTCTACCGTAGGCCTCAAAGCGCTAGAAATCTCCACCTGCAAATTCCAAAAAAAGTGTGTTTAACATCTGCTCTGTCTAAAGTAAAGTTCAGCTCTGTGAGTTGAATACACACAGCACAAAGAAGTTACTGAGACTTCTCCTATCAAACATTATATGAAGAAATCCCGTTTCCAACGAAGGCCTCAAAGAGGTCCAAATGTCTGCTTGCAGACTTTACAGACAGAGTGTTTCCAAACTGCTCCATCAAAAGAAAGGTTAAACTCCTTGAGTTGAACACACACATCACAAAGTAGTTTCTGTGAATGATTCTGTCTAGTTTTTATACGAAGATGTTTCCTTTTCTACCTTTGGTCTCAATGCGATTGAAATCTCCACATGGAAACTCCACAAAAAGAGTGTTTCAAATCTGCTCTTTCTGAAGGAAGGTTCAACTCTATGAGTTGAATACACACACCACAAATAAGTTACTGAGAATTCTTCTGTGTAACATTATATGAGGAAATCCCGTTTCCAACGAAGGCCTCAAAGAGGTCCAAATATCCACTTGCAGACTTTACAAAGACAGTGTCTCCAAACTCCTCCATCAAAAGAAAGGTTATACTCTGTGAATTGAACGCACACATCACAAAGTAGTTTCTGAGAATGATTCTGTCTAGTTTTTATACGAAGATATTTCCTTTTATACATTTGGCCTAAAAGCGCTTGAAATCTCCACCTGCAAATATCACAAAAAGAGGGTTTCACATCTGCTCTGTCTAAAGGACAGTTCACCTCTGTGAGTTGAATAGAGGCAACACAAAGAACTTACTCAGTATTCTTCTTTCTAGCGTTCTATGAAGAAATCCCGTTTCCAACGAAGGCCCCAAAGAGGTCCAAATATCTGCTTGCAGACTTAACAGACAGAGTGTTTCCAAACTACTCTATGAAAAGAAAGCTTAAACTCCTTGAGTTGAACGCACACATCACAAAGTAGTTTCTGAGAATGATTCTGTCTAGTTTTTATACGAAGATGTTTCCTTTTCTACATTTGGTCTCAAAGCGATTGAAATCTCCAACTGGAAACTGCACAAATAGGGTGTTTCAAATCTGCTCTGTCTAAAGGAAGGTTCAACTCTGTGAGTTGAATACACACACCACAAATAAGTTACTGAGAATTCTTCTGTCGAACATTACAGGAAGAAATCCCGTTTCCAACGAAGGCCTCAAAGAGGTCCAAATATCCACTTGCAGACATTACAAACAGAGTGTTTCCAAACTGCTCCATCAAAAGAAAGGTTAAACTCTGTGAGCGGAACACACACATCAAAAAGAAGTTTCTGTGAATGATTCTGTCTAGATTTTATAAGAAGATGTTTCCTTTTCTACCGTAGGCCTCAAAGCGCTTGAAATCTCCAGCTGCAAATTCCACAAAAAGGGTGTTTAACATCTGCTCTTCTAAAGGAAAGTTCAACTCTATGAGTTGAATACACACAGCACAAAGAAGTTACTGAGACTTCTCCTATCAAACATTATATGAAGAAATCCCGTTTCCAACGAAGGCCTCAAAGAGGTCCAAATATCTGCTTGCAGACTTTACAGACAGAGTGTTTCCAAACTGCTCCATCAAAAGAAAGGTTAACCTCCTTGAGTTGAACACACACATCACAAAGTAGTTTCTGTGAATGATTCTGTCTAGTTTTTATACGAAGATGTTTCCTTTTCTACCTTTGGTCTCAAAGCGATTGAAATCTCCACATGGAAACTCCACAAAAAGAGTGTTTCAAATCTGCTCTTTCTGAAGGAAGGTTCAACTCTGTGAGTTGAATACACACACCACAAATAAGTTACTGAGAATTCTTCTGGGTAACATTATATGAGGAAATCCCGTTTCCAACGAAGGCCTCAAAGAGGTCCAAATATCCACTTGCAGACTTTACAAAGACAGTGTCTCCAAACTCCTCCATCAAAAGAAAGGTTATACTCTGTGAATTGAACGCACACATCACAAAGTAGTTTCTGAGAATGATTCTGTCTAGTTTTTATACGAAGATATTTCCTTTTCTACATTTGGCCTAAAAGCGCTTGAAATCTCCACCTGCAAATATCACAAAAAGAGGCTTTCACATCTGCTCTGTCTAAAGGACAGTTCACCTCTGTGAGTTCAATAGAGGCAACACAAAGAACTTTCTGAGTATTCTTCTGTCGAACATTACTTGAAGAAATCCCGTTTCCAACGAAGGCCTCAAAGAGGTCCAAATATCTGCTTGCAGACTTTACAGACAGAGTGTTTCCAAACTACTCTATGAAAAGAAAGCTTAAACTCCTTGAGTTGAACGCACACATCACAAAGTAGTTTCTGAGAATGATTCTGTCTAGTTTTTATACGAAGATGTTTCCTTTTCTACATTTGGTCTCAAAGCGATTGAAATCTCCAACTGGAAACTGCACAAATAGGGTGTTTCAAATCTGCTCTGTCTAAAGGAAGGTTCAACTCTGTGAGTTGAATACACACACCACAAATAAGTTACTGAGAATTCTTCCGTCGAACATTACTTGAAGAAATCCCGTTTCCAACGAAGGCCTCAAAGAGGTCCAAATATCCACTTGCAGACATTACAAACAGAGTGTTTCCAAAACTGCTCCATCAAAAGAAAGGTTAAACTCTGTGAGCTGAACACACACATCAAAAAGAAGTTTCTGTGAATGATTCTGTCTAGATTTTATAAGAAGATGTTTCCTTTTCTACCGTAGGCCTCAAAGCGCTTGAAATCTCCAGCTGCAAATTCCACAAAAAGGGTGTTTAACATCTGCTCTTCTAAAGGAAAGTTCAACTCTATGAGTTGAATACACACAGCACAAAGAAGTTACTGAGACTTCTCCTATCAAACATTATATGAAGAAATCCCGCTTCCAACGAAGGCCTCAAAGAAGTCCAAATATCTGCTCACAAACTTTACAGACAGAGTGTTTCCAAACTGCTCCATCAAAAGAAAGGTTAACCTCCTTGAGTTGAACACACACATCACAAAGTAGTTTCTGTGAGTGATTCTGTCTAGTTTTTATACGAAGATGTTTCCTTTTCTACCTTTGGTCTCAATGCGATTGAAATCTCCACATGGAAACTCCACAAAAAGAGTGTTTCAAATCTGCTCTTTCTGAAGGAAGGTTCAACTCTGTGAGTTGAATACACACACCACAAATAAGTTACTGAGAATTCTCCTATCAAACATTATATGAAGAAATCCCGTTTCCAACGATGGCCTCAAAGAGGTCCAAATATCTGCTTGCAGACTTTACAAAGACAGTGTCTCCAAACTCCTCCATCAAAAGAAAGGTTATACTCTGTGAGTTGAACACACACATCACAAAGTAGTTTCTGAGAATGATTCTGTCTAGTTTTTATACGAAGATATTTCCTTTTCTACATTTGGCCTAAAAGCGCTTGAAATCTCCACCTGCAAATATCACAAAAAGAGGTTTTCACATCTGCTCTGTCTAAAGGACAGTTCACCTCTGTGAGTTGAATAGAGGCAACACAAAGAACTTACTCAGTATTCTTCTTTCTAGCGTTATATGAAGAAATCCCGTTTCCAAAGAAGGCCTCAAAGAGGTCCAAATATCTGCTTGCAGACTTTACAGACAGAGTGTTTCCAAACTACTCTATGAAAAGAAAGCTTAAACTCCTTGAGTTGAACGCACACATCACAAAGTAGTTTCTGAGAATGATTCTGTCTTGTTTTTATACGAAGATATTTCCGTTTCTATGATTGGCCTCAAAGCGATTGAAATCTCCAACTGGAAAATGCACAAATAGGGTGTTTCAAATCTGCTCTGTCTAAAGGAAGGTTCAACTCTGTGAGTTGAATACACACACCACAAATAAGTTACTGAGAATTCTTCTGTCGACCATTACATGAAGAAATCCCGTTTCCAACGAAGGCCTCAAAGAGGTCCAAATATCCCCTTGCAGACATTACAAACAGAGTGTTTCCAAACTGCTCCATCAAAAGAAAGGTCAAACTCTGTGAGCTGAACACACACATCAAAAAGAAGTTTCTGTGAATGATTCTGTCTAGATTTTATAAGAAGATGTTTCCTTTTCTACCGTAGGCCTCAAAGCGCTTGAAATCTCCAGCTGCAAATTCCACAAAAAGGGTGTTTACCATCTGCTCTTCTAAAGGAAAGTTCAACTCTATGAGTTGAATACACACAGCACAAAGAAGTTACTGAGACTTCTCCTATCAAACATTATAGGAAGAAATCCCGTTTCCAACGAAGGCCTCAAAGAGGTCCAAATATCCACTTGCAGACGTGACAAACAGAGTGTTTCCAAACTGTTCCATCAAAAGAAAGGTTAAACTCTGTGAGTTGAACACACACATCACAAAGTAGTTTCTGTGAATGATTCTGTCTAGTTTTTATACGAAGATGTTTCCTTTTCTACCTTTGGTCTCAAAGCGATTGAAATCTCCACATGGAAACTCCACAAAAAGAGAGTTTCAAATCTGCTCTTTCTGAAGGAAGGTTCAACTCTGTGAGTTGAATACACACACCACAAATAAGTTACTGAGAATTCTTCTGTGTAACATTATATGAGGAAATCCCGTTTCCAACGAAGGCCTCAAAGAGGTCCAAATATCCACTTGCAGACTTTACAAAGACAGTGTCTCCAAACTCCTCCATCAAAAGAAAGGTTATACTCTGTGAATTGAACGCACACATCACAAAGTAGTTTCTGAGAATGATTCTGTCTAGTTTTTATACGAAGATATTTCCTTTTCTACATTTGGCCTAAAAGTGCTTGAAATCTCCACCTGCAAATATCACAAAAAGAGGGTTTCACATCTGCTCTGTCTAAAGGACAGTTCACCTCTGTGAGTTGAATAGAGGCAACACAAAGAACTTACTCAGTATTCTTCTTTCTAGCGTTCTATGAAGAAATCCCGTTTCCAACGAAGGCCTCAAAGAGGTCCAAATATCTGCTTGCAGACTTTACAGACAGAGTGTTTCCAAACTACTCTATGAAAAGAAAGCTTAAACTCCTTGAGTTGAACGCACACATCACAAAGTAGTTTCTGAGAATGATTCTGTCTAGTTTTTATACGAAGATGTTTCCTTTTCTACATTTGGTCTCAAAGCGATTGAAATCTCCAACTGGAAACTGCACAAATAGGCTGTTTCAAATCTGCTCTGTCTAAAGGAAGGTTCAGCTCTGTGTGTTGAATACACACACCACAAATAAGTTACTGAGAATTCTTCTGTCGAACATTACTTGAAGAAATCCCGTTTGCAACGAAGGCCTCAAAGAGGTCCAAATATCCACTTGCAGACATTACAACAGAGTGTTTCCAAACTGCTCCATCAAAAGAAAGGTTAAACTCTGTGAGCTGAACACACACATCAAAAAGAAGTTTCTGTGAATGATTCTGTCTAGATTTTATAAGAAGATGTTTCCTTTTCTACCGTAGGCCTCAAAGCGCTTGAAATCTCCAGCTGCAAATTCCACAAAAAGGGTGTTTAACATCTGCTTTTCTAAAGGAAAGTTCAACTCATAGAGTTGAACACACACAGCACAAGAAGTTACTGAGACTTCTCCTATCAAACATTATATGAAGAAATCCCGTTTCCAACGAAGGCCTCAAAGAGGTCCAAATATCCACTTGCAGACGTGACAAACAGAGTGTTTCCAAACTGCTCCATCCAAAGAAAGGTTAAACTCTGTGAGTTGAACACACACATCACAAAGTAGTTTCTGTGAATGATTCTGTCTAGTTTTTATACGAAGATGTTTCCTTTTCTACCTTTGGTCTCAAAGCCATTGAAATCTCCCCATGGAAACTCGACAAAAAGAGTGTTTCAAATCTGCTCTTTCTGAAGGAAGGTTCAACTTTGTGAGTTGAATACACACACCACAAGTAAGTTACTGAGAATTCTTCTGTGTAACATTATATGAGGAAATCCCGTTTCCAACGAAGGCCTCAAAGAGGTCCAAATATCCACTTGCAGACTTTACAAAGACAGTGTCTCCAAACTCCTCCATCAAAAGAAAGGTTATACTCTGTGAATTGAACGCACACATCACAAAGTAGTTTCTGAGAATGATTCTGTCTAGTTTTTATACAAAGATATTTCCTTTTCTACATTTGGCCTAAAAGCGCTTGAAATCTCCACCTGCAAATATCACAAAAAGAGGGTTTCACATCTGCTCTGTCTAAAGGACAGTTCACCTCTGTGAGTTGAATAGAGGCAACACAAAGAACTTACTCAGTATTCTTCTTTCTAGCGTTCTATGAAGAAATCCCGTTTCCAACGAAGGCCCCAAAGAGGTCCAAATATCTGCTTGCAGACTTTACAGACAGAGTGTTTCCAAACTACTCTATGAAAAGAAAGCTTAAACTCCTTGAGTTGAACGCACACATCACAAAGTAGTTTCGGAGAATGATTCTGTCTAGTTTTTATACGAAGATGTTTCCTTTTCTACATTTGGTCTCAAAGCGATTGAAATCTCCAACTGGAAACTGCACAAATAGGGTGTTTCAAATCTGCTCTGTCTAAAGGAAGGTTCAACTCTGTGAGTTGAATACACACACCGCAAATAAGTTACTGAGAATTCTTCTGTCGAACATTACTTGAAGAAATCCCGTTTCCAACGAAGGCCTCAAAGAGGTCCAAATATCCACTTGCAGACATTACAAACAGAGTGTTTCCAAACTGCTCCATCAAAAGAAAGGTTAAACTCTGTGAGCTGAACACACACATCAAAAAGAAGTTTCTGTGAATGATTCTGTCTAGATTTTATAAGAAGATGTTTCCTTTTCTACCGTAGGCCTCAAAGCGCTTGAAATCTCCAGCTGCAAATTCCACAAAAAGGGTGTTTAACATCTGCTCTTCTAAAGGAAAGTTCAACTCTATGAGTTGAATACACACAGCACAAAGAAGTTACTGAGACTTCTCCTATCAAACATTATATGAAGAAATCCCGTTTCCAACGAAGGCCTCAAAGAGGTCCAAATATCTGCTTGCAGACTTTAAAGACAGAGTTTTTCCAAACTGCTCCATCAAAAGAAAGGTTAAACTCCTTGAGTTGAAAACACACATCACAAAGTAGTTTCTGTGAATGATTCTGTCTAGTTTTTATACGAAGATGTTTCCTTTTCTACCTTTGGTCTCAAAGCGATTGAAATCTCCACATGGAAACTCCACAAAAAGAGTGTTTCAAATCTGCTCTTTCTGAAGGAAGGTTCATCTCTGTGAGTTGAATACACACACCACAAATAAGTTACTGAGAATTCTTCTGTGTAACATTATATGAGGAAATCCCGTTTCCAACGAAGGCCTCAAAGAGGTCCAAATATCCACTTGCAGACTTTACAAAGACAGTGTCTCCAAACTCCTCCATCAAAAGAAAGGTTATACTCTGTGAATTGAACGCACACATCACAAAGAAGTTTCTGAGAATGATTCTGTCTAGTTTTTATACGAAGATATTTCCTTTTCTACATTTGGCCTAAAAGCGCTTGAAATCTCCACCTGCAAATATCACAAAAAGAGGGTTTCACATCTGCTCTGTCTAAAGGACAGTTCACCTCTGTGAGTTGAATAGAGGCAACACAAAGAACTTACTCAGTATTCTTCTTTCTAGCGTTCTATGAAGAAATCCCGTTTCCAACGAAGGCCCCAAAGAGGTCCAAATATCTGCTTGCAGACTTTACAGACAGAGTGTTTCCAAACTACTCTATGAAAAGAAAGCTTAAACTCCTTGAGTTGAACGCACACATCACAAAGTAGTTTCTGAGAATGATTCTGTCTAGTTTTTATACGAAGATGTTTCCTTTTCTACATTTGGTCTCAAAGCGATTGAAATCTCCAACTGGAAACTGCACAAATAGGGTGTTTCAAATCTGCTCTGTCTAAAGGAAGGTTCAACTCTTTGAGTTGAATACACACACCACAAATAAGTTACTGAGAATTCTTCTGTCGAACATTACTTGAAGAAAACCCGTTTCCAACGAAGGCCTCAAAGAGGTCCAAATATCCACTTGCAGACATTACAAACAGAGTGTTTCCAAACTGCTCCATCAAAACAAAGGTTAAACTCTGTGAGCTGAACACACACATGAAAAAGAAGTTTCTGTGAATGATTCTGTCTAGATTTTATAAGAAGATGTTTCCTTTTCTACCATAGGCCTCAAAGCGCTAGAAATCTCCAGCTGCAAATTCCACAAAAAGTGTGTTTAACATCTGCTCTGTCTAAAGTAAAGTTCAGCTCTGTGAGTTGAATACACACAGCACAAAGAAGTTACTGAGACTTCTCCTATCAAACATTATATGAAGAAATCCCGTTTCCAACGAAGGCCTCAAAGAGGTCCAAATATCTGCTTGCAGACTTTACAGACAGTTTCCAAACTGCTCCATCAAAAGAAAGGTTAAACTCCTTGAGTTGAACACACACATCACAAAGTAGTTTCTGTGAATGATTCTGTCTAGTTTTTATACGAAGAATGTTTCCTTTTCTACCTTTGGTCTCAAAGCGATTGAAATCTCCACATGGAAACTCCACAAAAAGAGTGTTTCAAATCTGCTCTTTCTGAAGGAAGTTTCAACTCTGTGAGTTGAATACACACACCACAAATAAGTTACTGAGAATTCTCCTATCAAACATCATATGAAGAAATCCCGTTTCCAACGAAGGCCTCAAAGAGGTCCAAATATCTGCTTGCAGACTTTACAAAGACAGTGTCTCCAAACTCCTCCATCAAAAGAAAGGTTATACTCTGTGAATTGAACGCACACATCACAAAGTAGTTTCTGAGAATGATTCTGTCTAGTTTTTATACGAAGATATTTCCTTTTCTACATTTGGCCTGAAAACGCTTGAAATCTCCACCTGCAAATATCACAAAAAGAGGGTTTCACATCTGCTCTGTCTAAAGGACAGTTCACCTCTGTGAGTTGAATAGAGGCAACACAAAGAACTTACTCAGTATTCTTCTTTCTAGCGTTCTATGAAGAAATCCCGTTTCCAACGAAGGCCTCAAAGAGGTCCAAATATCTGCTTGCACACTTTACAGACAGAGTGTTTCCAAACTACTCTATGAAAAGAAAGCTTAAACTCCTTGAGTTGAACGCACACATCACAAAGTAGTTTCTGAGAATGATCCTGTCTTGTTTTTATACAAATGTATTTCCGTTTCTATGGCCTCAAAGCAATTGAAATCTCCAACTGTAAACTGCACAAATAGGGTGTTTCAAATCTGTTCTGTCTAAAGGAAGGCTCAACTCTGTGAGTTGAATACACACAACACAAATAAGTTACTGAGAATTCTTCTGTCGAACATTACATGAAGAAATCCCGTTTCCAACGAAGGCCTCCAAGAGGTCCAAATATCCACATGCAGACATTACAAACAGAGTGTTTCCAAACTGCTCCATCAAAAGAAAGGTTAAACTCTGTGAGCTGAACACACACATCAAAAAGATGTTTCTGTGAATGATTCTGTCTAGATTTTATAAGATGTTTCCTTTTCTACTGTAGTCCTCAAAGCGCTTGAAATCTCCAACTGCAAATTCCACAAAAAGGGTGTTTAAGATCTGCTCTTCTAAAGGAAAGTTCAACTCTATGAGTTGAATACACACAGCACAAAGAAGTTACTGAGACTTCTCCTATCAAACATTATATGAAGAAATCCCGTTTCCAACGAAGGCCTCAAAGAGGTCCAAATATCTGCTTGCAGACTTTACAGACAGAGTGTTTCCAAACTGCTCCATCAAAAGAAAGGTTAAACTCCTTGAGTTGAACACACACATCACAAAGTAGTTTCTGTGAATGATTCTGTCTAGTTTTTATACGAAGATGTTTCCTTTTCTACCTTTGGTCTCAATGCGATTGAAATCTCCACATGGAAACTCCACAAAAAGAGTGTTTCAAATCTGCTCTTTCTGAAGGAAGGTTCAACTCTGTGAGTTGAATACACACACCACAAATAAGTTACTGAGAATTCTTCTGTGTAACATTATATGAGGAAATCCCGTTTCCAACGAAGGCCTCAAAGAGGTCCAAATATCCACTTGCAGACTTTACAAAGACAGTGTCTCCAAACTCCTCCATCAAAAGAAAGGTTATACTCTGTGAATTGAACGCACACATCACAAAGTAGTTTCTGAGAATGATTCTGTCTAGTTTTAATACGAAGATATTTCCTTTTCTACATTTGGCCTAAAAGCGCTTGAAATCTCCACCTGCAAATATCACAAAAAGAGGGTTTCACATCTGCTCTGTCTAAAGGACAGTTCACCTCTGTGAGTTGAATAGAGGCAACACAAAGAACTTACTCAGTATTCTTCTTTCTAGCGTTATATGAAGAAATCCCGTTTCCAACGAAGGCCTCAAAGAGGTCCAAATATCTGCGTGTAGACTTTACAAACAGAGTGTTTCCAAAATACTCTATGAAAAGAAAGCTTAAACTCGGTGACTTGAACGCACAAATCACAATGTAGTTTCTGAGAATGATTCTGTCTAGTTTTTATACGAAGATGTTTCCTTTTCTACATTTGGTCTCAAAGCGATTGAAATCTCCAACTGGAAACTGCACAAATAGGGTGTTTCAAATCTGCTCTGTCTAAAGGAAGGTTCAACTCTTTGAGTTGAATACACACACCACAAATAAGTTACTGAGAATTCTTCTGTCGACCATTACTTGATGAAATCCCGTTTCCAACGAAGGCCTCAAAGAGGTCCAAATATCCACTTGCAGACATTACAAACAGAGTGTTTCCAAACTGCTCCATCAAAAGAAAGGTTAAACTCTGTGAGCTGAACACACACATCGAAAAGAAGTTTCTGTGAATGATTCTGTCTAGATTTTATAAGAAGATGTTTCCTTTTCTACCATAGTCCTCAAAGCGCTTGAAATCTCCAGCTGCAAATTCCACAAAAAGGGTGTTTAACATCTGCTCTGTCTAAAGTAAAGTTCAGCTCTGTGAGTTGAATACACACAGCACTAAGAAGATACTGAGACTTCTTCTGTCTAACATTATATGAAGAAATCCCGTTTCCAATGAAGGCCTCAAAGAGGTCCAAATATCCACTTGCAGACTTGTCAAACAGAGTGTTTCCAAATTGCACCATCAAAAGAAAGGTTAAACTCTGTGAGCTGAATACACACATCACAAAGTAGTTTCTGTGAATGATTCTGTCTAGTTTTTATACGAAGATGTTTCCTTTTCTACCTTTGGTCTCAAAGCGATTGAAATCTCCACATGGAAACTCCACCAAAAGAGTGTTTCAAATCTGCTCTTTCTGAAGGAAGGTTCAACTCTGTGAGTTGAATACACACACCACAAATAAGTTACTGAGAATTCTCCTATCAAACATTATATGAAGAAATCCCATTTCCAACGATGGCCTCAGAGAGGTCCAAATATCTGCTTGCAGACTTTTCAAAGACAGTGTCTCCAAACTGCTCCATCAAAAGAAAGGTTATACTCTGTTAATTGAACGCACACATCACAAAGTAGTTTCTGAGAATGATTCTGTCTAGTTTTTATACGAAGATATTTCCTTTTCTACATTTGGCCTAAAAGCGCTTGAAATCTCCACCTGCAAATATCCCAAAAAGAGGGTTTCACATCTGCTCTGTCTAAAGGACAGTTCACCTCTGTGAGTTGAATAGAGGCAACACAAAGAACTTACTCAGTATTCTTCTTTCAAGCGTTCTATGAAGAAATCCCGTTTCCAACGAAGACCCCAATGAGGTCCAAATATCTGCTTGCAGACTTTACAGACAGAGTGTTTCCAAACTACTCTATGAAAAGAAAGCTTAAACTCCTTGTGTTGAACGCACACATCACAAAGTAGTTTCTGAGAATGATTCTGTCTAGTTTTTATACGAAGATGTTTCCTTTTCTACATTTGGTCTCAAAGCGATTGAAATCTCCAACTGGAAACTGCACAAATAGGGTGTTTCAAATCTGCTCTGTCTAAAGGAAGGTTCAACTCTTTGAGTTGAATACACACACCACAAATAAGTTACTGAGAATTCTTCTGTCGAACATTACAGGAAGAAATCCCGTTTCCAACGAAGGCCTCAAAGAGGTCCAAATATCCACTTGCAGACATTACAAACAGTGTGTTTCCCAACTGCTCCATCAAAAGAAAGGTTAAACTCTGTGAGCTGAACACACACATCAAAAAGAAGTTTCTGTGAATGATTCTGTCTAGATTTTATAAGAAGATGTTTCCTTTTCTACCGTAGGCCTCAAAGCGCTTGAAATCTCCAGCTGCAAATTCCACAAAAAGGGTGTTTAACATCTGCTCTTCTAAAGGAAAGTTCAACTCTATGAGTTGAATACACACAGCACAAAGAAGTTACTGAGACTTCTCCTATCAAACATTATATGAAGAAATCCCGTTTCCAACGAAGGCCTCAAAGAGGTCCAAATATCTGCTTGCAGACTTTACAGACAGAGTGTTTCCAAACTGCTCCATCAAAAGAAAGGTTAAACTCCTTGAGTTGAACACACACATCACAAAGTAGTTTCTGTGAATGATTCTGTCTAGTTTTTATACGAAGATGTTTCCTTTTCTACCTTTGGTCTCAAAGCGATTGAAATCTCCACATGGAAACTCCACAAAAAGAGTGTTTCAAATCTGCTCTTTCTGAAGGAAGGTTCATCTCTGTGAGTTGAATACACACACCACAAATAAGTTACTGAGAATTCTTCTGTGTAACATTATATGAGGAAATCCCGTTTCCAACGAAGGCCTCAAAGAGATCCAAATATCCACTTGCAGACTTTACAAAGACAGTGTCTCCAAACTCCTCCATCAAAAGAAAGGTTATACTCTGTGAATTGAACGCACACCTCACAAAGTAGTTTCTGAGAATGATTCTGTCTAGTTTTTATACGAAGATATTTCCTTTTCTACATTTGGCCTAAAAGCGCCTGAAATCTCCACCTGCAAATATCACAAAAAGAGGGTTTCACATCTGCTCTGTCTAAAGGACAGTTCACCTCTGTGAGTTGAATAGAGGCAACACAAAGAACTTACTCAGTATTCTTCTTTCTAGCGTTCTATGAAGAAATCCCGTTTCCAACGAAGGCCCCAAAGAGGTCCAAATATCTGCTTGCAGACTTTACAGACAGAGTGTTTCCAAACTACTCTATGAAAAGAAAGGTTAAACTCCTTGAGTTGAACGCACACATCACAAAGTAGTTTCTGAGAATGATTCTGTCTAGTTTTTATACGAAGATGTTTCCTTTTCTACATTTGGTCTCAAAGCGATTGAAATCTCCAACTGGAAACTGCACAAATAGGGTGTTTCAAATCTGCTCTGTCTAAAGGAAGGTTCAACTCTGTGAGGTGAATACACACACCACAAATAAGTTACTGAGAATTCTTCTGTCGAACATTACATGAAGAAATCCCGTTTCCAACGAAGGCCTCAAAAGGTCCAAATATCCACTTGCAGACATTACAAACAGAGTGTTTCCAAACTGCTCCATCAAAAGAAAGGTTAAACTCTGTGAGCTGAACACACACATCAAAAAGAAGTTTCTGTGAATGATTCTGTCTAGATTTTATAAGAAGATGTTTCCTTTTCTACCGTAGGCCTCAAAGCGCTTGAAATCTCCAGCTGCAAATTCCACAAAAAGGGTGTTTAACATCTGCTCTTCTAAAGGAAAGTTCAACTCTATGAGTTGAATACACACAGCACAAAGAAGTTACTGAGACTTCTTCTTTCTAGCATTCTATGAAGAAATCCCGTTTCCAACGAAGGCCTCAAAGAGGTCCAAATATCTGCTTGCAGACTTTACAGACAGAGTTTTTCCAAACTGCTCCATCAAAAGAAAGGTTAAACTCCTTGAGTTGAACACACACATCACAAAGTAGTTTCTGTGAATGATTCTGTCTAGTTTTTATACGAAGATGTTTCCTTTTCTACCTTTGGTCTCAAAGCGATTGAAATCTCCACATGGAAACTCCACAAAAAGAGTGTTTCAAATCTGCTCTTTCTGAAGGAAGGTTCAACTCTGTGAGTTGAATACACACACCACAAATAAGTTACTGAGAATTCTTCTGTGTAACATTATATGAGGAAATCCCGTTTCCAACGAAGGCCTCAAAGAGGTCCAAATATCCACTTGCAGACTTTACAAAGACAGTGTCTCCAAACTCCTCCATCAAAAGAAAGGTTATACTCTGTGAATTGAACGCACACATCACAAAGTAGTTTCTGAGAATGATTCTGTCTAGTTTTTATACGAAGATATTTCCTTTTCTACATTTGGCCTAAAAGCGCTTGAAATCTCCACCTGCAAATATCACAAAAAGAGGGTTTCACATCTGCTCTGTCTAAAGGACAGTTCACCTCTGTGAGTTGAATAGAGGCAACACAAAGAACTTACTCAGTATTCTTCTTTCTAGCGTTCTATGAAGAAATCCCGTTTCCAACGAAGGCCCCAAAGAGGTCCAAATATCTGCTTGCAGACTTTACAGACAGAGTGTTTCCAAACTACTCTATGAAAAGAAAGCTTAAACTCCTTGAGTTGAACGCACACATCACAAAGTAGTTTCTGAGAATGATTCTGTCTAGTTTTTATACGAAGTATGTTTCCTTTTCTACATTTGGTCTCAAAGCGATTGAAATCTCCAACTGGAAACTGCACAAATAGGGTGTTTCAAATCTGCTCTGTCTAAAGGAAGGTTCAACTCTGTGAGTTGAATACACACAACACAAATAAGTTACTGAGAATTCTTCTGTCGAACATTACATGAAGAAATCCCGTTTCCAACGAAGGCCTCAAAGAGGTCCAAATATCCACTTGCAGACATTACAGAGTGTTTCCAAACTGCTCTATCAAAAGAAAGGTTAAACTCTGTGAGCTGAACACACACATCAAAAAGAAGTTTCTGTGAATGATTCTGTCTAGATTTTATAAGAAGATGTTTCCTTTTCTACCGTAGGCCTCAAAGCGCTTGAAATCTCCACCTGCAAATTCCACAAAACGGGTGTTTAACATCTGCTCTTCTAAAGGAAAGTTCAACTCTATGAGTTGAATACACACAGCACAAAGAAGTTACTGAGACTTCTCCTATCAAACATTATATGAAGAAATCCCGTTTCCAACGAAGGCCTCAAAGAGGTCCAAATATCCGCTTGCAGACTTTACAGATAGAGTTTTTCCAAACTGCTCCATCAAAAGAAAGGTTAAACTCCTTGAGTTGAACACACACATCACAAAGTAGTTTCTGTGAATGATTCTGTCTAGTTTTTATACGAAGATGTTTCCTTTTCTACCTTTGGTCTCAAAGCGATTGAAATCTCCACATGGAAACTCCACAAAAAGAGTGTTTCAAATCTGCTCTTTCTGAAGGAAGGTTCACCTCTGTGAGTTGAATAAACACACCACAAATAAGTTACTGAGAATTCTTCTGTGTAACATTATATGAGGAAATCCCGTTTCCAACGAAGGCCTCAAAGAGGTCCAAATATCCACTTGCAGACTTTACAAAGACAGTGTCTCCAAACTCCTCCATCAAAAGAAAGGTTATACTCTGTGAATTGAACGCACACATCACAAAGTAGTTTCTGAGAATGATTCTGTCTAGTTTTTATACGAAGATATTTCCTTTTCTACACTTGGCCTAAAAGCGCTTGAAATCTCCACCTGCAAATATCACAAAAAGAGGGTTTCACATCTGCTCTGTCTAAAGGACAGTTCACCTCTGTGAGTTGAATAGAGGCCACACAAAGAACTTATTCAGTATTCTTCTTTCTAGCGTTCTATGAAGAAATCCCGTTTCCAACGAAGGCCTCAAAGAGGTCAAATATATGCTTGCAGACTTTACAGACAGAGTGTTTCCAAACTACTCTATGAAAAGAAAGCTTAAACTCCTTGAGTTGAACGCACACATCACAAAGTAGTTTCTGAGTATGATTCTGTCTAGTTTTTATACGAAGGATATTTCCTTTTCTACATTTGGCCTAAAAGTGCTTGAAATCTCCACCTGCAAATATCACAAAAAGAGGGTTTCACATCTGCTCTGTCTAAAGGACAGTTCACCTCTGTGAGTTGAATAGAGGCAACACAAAGAACTTACTCAGTATTCTTCTTTCTAGCGTTCTATGAATAAATCCGGTTTCCAACGAAGACCCCAATGAGGTCCAAATATCTGCTTGCAGACTTTACAGACAGACTGTTTCCAAACTACTCTATGAAAAGAAAGCTTAAACTCCTTGAGTTGAACGCACACATCACAAAGTAGTTTCTGAGAATGATTCTGTCTAGTTTTTATACGAAGATGTTTCCCTTTCTACATTTGGTCTCAAAGCGATTGAAATCTCCAACTGGAAACTGCACAAATAGGCTGTTTCAAATCTGCTCTGTCTAAATGAAGGTTCAACTCTGTGAGTTGAATACACACACCACAAATAAGTTACTGAGAATTCTTCTGTCGAACATTACAGGAAGAAATCCCGTTTCCAACGAAGGCCTCAAAGAGGTCCAAATATCCACTTGCAGACATTACAAACAGTGTGTTTCCAAACTGCTCCATCAAAAGAAAGGTTAAACTCTGTGAGCTGAACACACACATCAAAAAGAAGTTTCTGTGAATGATTCTGTCTAGATTTTATAAGAAGATGTTTCCTTTTCTACCGTAGGCCTCAAAGCGCTTGAAATCTCCAGCTGCAAATTCCACAAAAAGGGTGTTTAACATCTGCTCTTCTAAAGGAAAGTTCAACTCTATGAGTTGAATACACACAGCACAAAGAAGTTACTGAGACTTCTCCTATCAAACATTATATGAAGAAATCCCGTTTCCAACGAAGGCCTCAAAGAGGTCCAAATATCTGCTTGCAGACTTTACAGACAGAGTTTTTACAAACTGCTCCATCAAAAGAAAGGTTAAACTCCTTGAGTTGAACACACACATCACAAAGTAGTTTCTGTGAATGATTCCGCCTAGTTTTTATACGAAGATGTTTCCTTTTCTACCTTTGGTCTCAAAGCGATTGAAATCTCCACATGGAAACTCCACAAAAAGAGTGTTTCAAATCTGCTCTTTCTGAAGGAAGGTTCAACTCTGTGAGTTGAATACACACACCACAAATAAGTTACTGAGAATTCTTCTGTGTAACATATATGAGGAAATCCCGTTTCCAACGAAGGCCTCAAAGAGTTCCAAATATCCACTTGCAGACTTTAGAAAGACAGTGTCTCCAAACTCCTCCATCAAAAGAAAGGTTATACTCTGTGAATTGAACGCACACATCACAAAGTAGTTTCTGAGAATGATTCTGTCTAGTTTTTATACGAAGATATTTCCTTTTCTACATTTGGCCTAAAAGCGCTTGAAATCTCCACCTGCAAATATCAGAAAAAGAGGGTTTCACATCTGCTCTGTCTAAAGGACAGTTCACCTCTCTGAGTTGAATAGAGGCAACACAAAGAACTTACTCAGTATTCTTCTTTCTAGCGTTCTATGAAGAAATCCCGTTTCCAACGAAGGGCCCCAAAGAGGTCCAAATATCTGCTTGCAGACTTTAGAGACAGAGTGTTTCCAAACTACTCTATGAAAAGAAAGCTTAAACTCCTTGAGTTGAACGCACACATCACAAAGTAGTTTCTGGGAATGATTCTGTCTAGTTTTTATACGAAGATGTTTCCTTTTCTACATTTGGTCTCAAAGCGATTGAAATCTCCAACTGGAAACTGCACAAATAGGGTGTTTCAAATCTGCTCTGTCTAAAGGAAGGTTCAACTCTGTGAGTTGAATACACACACCACAAATAAGTTACTGAGAATTCTTCTGTCGAACATTACATGAAGAAATCCCGTTTCCAACGAAGGCCTCAAAGAGGTCCAAATATCCACTTGCAGACATTACAAACAGAGTGTTTCCAAACTGCTCCATCAAAGGAAAGGTTAAACTCTGTGAGCTGAACACACACATCAAAAAGAAGTTTCTGTGAATGATTCTGTCTAGATTTTATAAGAAGATGTTTCCTTTTCTACCGTAGGCCTCAAAGCGCTTGAAATCTCCAGCTGCAAATTCCACAAAAAGGGTGTTTAACATCTGCTCTTCTAAAGGAAAGTTCAACTCTATGAGTTGAATACACACAGCACAAAGAAGTTACTGAGACTTCTCCTATCAAACATTATATGAAGAAATCCCGTTTCCAACGAAGGCCTCAAAGAGGTCCAAATATCTGCTTGCAGACTTTAAAGACAGAGTTTTTCCAAACTGCTCCATCAAAAGAAAGGTTAAACTCCTTGAGTTGAACACACACATCACAAAGTAGTTTCTGTGAATGATTCTGTCTAGTTTTTATACGAAGATGTTTCCTTTTCTACCTTTGGTCTCAAAGCGATTGAAATCTCCACATGGAAACTCCACAAAAAGAGTGTTTCAAATCTGCTCTTTCTGAAGGAAGGTTCAACTCTGTGAGTTGAATACACACACCACAAATAAGTTACTGAGAATTCTTCAGTGTAACATTATATGAGGAAATCCCGTTTCCAACGAAGGCCTCAAAGAGGTCCAAATATCCACTTGCAGACTTTACAAAGACAGTGTCTCCAAACTCGTCCATCAAAAGAAAGGTTATACTCTGTGAATTCAACGCACACATCACAAAGTAGTTTCTGAGAATGATTCTGTCTAGTTTTTATACGAAGATATTTCCTTTTCTACATTTGGCCTAAAAGCGCTTGAAATCTCCATCTGCAAATATCACAAAAAGAGGGTTTCACATCTGCTCTCTCTAAAGGACAGTTCACCTCTGTGAGTTGAATAGAGGCAACACAAAGAACTTACTCAGTATTCTTCTTTCTAGCGTTCTATGAAGAAATCCCGTTTCCAACGAAGGCCCCAAAGAGGTCCAAATATCTGCTTGCAGACTTTACAGACAGAGTGTTTCCAAACTACTCTATGAAAAGAAAGCTTAAACTCCTTGAGTTGAACGCACACATCACAAAGTAGTTTCTGAGAATGATTCTGTCTAGTTTTTATACGAAGATGTTTCCTTTTCTACATTTGGTCTCAAAGCGATTGAAATCTCCAACTGGAAACTGCACAAATAGGGTGTTTCAAATTTGCTCTGTCTAAAGGAAGGTTCAACTCTGTGAGTTGAATACACACACCACAAATAAGTTACTGAGAATTCTTCTGTCGAACATTACTTGAAGAAATTCCGTTTCCAACGAAGGCCTCAAAGAGGTCCAAATATCCACTTGCAGACATTACAAACAGAGTGTTTCCAAACTGCTCCATGAAAAGAAAGGTTAAACTCTGTGAGCTGAACACACACATCAAAAAGAAGTTTCTGTGAATGATTCTGTCTAGATTTTATAAGAAGATGTTTCCTTTTCTACCGTAGGCCTCAAAGCGCTTGAAATCTCCAGCTGCAAATTCCACAAAAAGGGTGTTTAACATCTGCTCTTCTAAAGGAAAGTTCAACTCTATGAGTTGAATACACACAGCACAAAGAAGTTACTGAGACTTCTCCTATCAAACATTATATGAAGAAATCCCGTTTCCAACTGAAGGCCTCAAAGAGGTCCAAATATCCGACTTGCAGACGTGACAAACAGAGTGTTTCCAAACTGCTGCATCAAAAGAAAGTTTAAACTCCGTGAGTTGAACACACACATCAAAAAGTAGTTTCTGTGAATGATTCTGTCTAGTTTTTATACGAAGATATTTCCTTTTCTACCTTTGGTCTCAAAGCGATTGAAATCTCCACATGGAAACTCCACAAAAAGAGTGTTTCACATCTGCTCTTTCTGAAGGAAGGTTCAACTCTGTGAGTTGAATACACACACCACAAATAAGTTACTGAGAATTCTTCTGTGTAACATTCTATGAGGAAATCCCGTTTCCAACGAAGGCCTCAAAGAAGTCCAAATATCCACTTGCAGACTTTTCAAAGACCGTGTCTCCAAACTCCTCCCTCCAAAGAAAGGTTTTACTCTGTGAATTGAACGCACACATCACAAAGTAGTTTCTGAGAATGATTCTGTCTAGTTTTTATACGAAGATATTTCCTTTTCTACATTTGGCCTAAAAGCGCTTGAAATCTCCACCTGCAAATATCACAAAAAGAGGGTTTCACATCTGCTCTGTCTAAAGGACAGTTCACCTCTGTGAGTTGAATAGAGGCAACACAAAGAACTTACTCAGTATTCTTCTTTCTAGCGTTCTATGAAGAAATCCCGTTTCCAACGAAGGCCCCAAAGAGGTCCAAATATCTGCTTGCAGACTTTACAGACAGAGTGTTTCCAAACTACTCTATGAAAAGAAAGCTTAAACTCCTTGAGTTGAACGCACACATCACAAAGTAGTTTCTGAGAATGATTCTGTCTAGTTTTTATACGAAGATGTTTCCCTTTCTACATTTGGTCTCAAAGCGATTGAAATCTCCAACTGGAAACTGCACAAATAGGCTGTTTCAAATCTGCTCTGTCTAAAGGAAGTTTCAACTCTGTGAGTTGAATACACACACCACAAATAAGTTACTGAGAATTCTTCTGTCGAACATTACAGGAAGAAATCCCGTTTCCAACGAAGGCCTCAAAGAGGTCCAAATATCCACTTGCAGACATTACAAACAGAGTGTTTCCAAACTGCTCCATCAAAAGAAAGGTTAAACTCTGTGAGCTGAACACACACATGAAAAAGAAGTTTCTGTGAATGATTCTGTCTAGATTTTATAAGAAGATGTTTCCTTTTCTACCGTAGGCCTCAAAGCGCTTGAAATCTCCAGCTGCAAATTCCACAAAAAGGGTGTTTAACATCTGCTCTTCTAAAGGAAAGTTCAACTCTATGAGTTGAATACACACAGCACAAAGAAGTTACTGAGACTTCTCCTATCAAACATTATATGAAGAAATCCCGTTTCCAACGAAGGCCTCAAAGAGGTCCAAATATCTGCTTGCAGACTTTACAGACAGAGTTTTTCCAAACTGCTCCATCAAAAGAAAGGTTAAACTCCTTGAGTTGAACACACACGTCACAAAGTAGTTTCTGTGAATGATTCTGTCTAGTTTTTATACGAAGATGTTTCGTTTTCTACCTTTGGTCTCAAAGCGATTGAATTCTCCACATGGATACTCCACAAAAAGATTGTTTCAAATCTGCTCTTTCTGAAGGAAGGTTCAAC
The DNA here is from genome assembly GCF_000001405.40 of Homo sapiens. Classification (NCBI taxonomy): domain Eukaryota; kingdom Metazoa; phylum Chordata; class Mammalia; order Primates; family Hominidae; genus Homo; species Homo sapiens. Next base: position 36,724,177 of record NC_000012.12, on the reverse strand, counting down.
TCTGTCAGTTGAATACAAACACCACAAATAAGCTACTGAGAATTCTTCTGTGTAACATTATATGAGGAAATCCCGTTTCCAACGAAGGCCTCAAAGAGGTCCAAATATCCACTTGCAGACTTTACAAAGACAGTGTCTCCAAACTCCTCCATCAAAAGAAAGGTTATACTGCTGTGAATTGAACGCACACATCACAAAGTAGTTTGCTGAGAATGATTCTGTCTAGTTTTTATACGAAGAATATTTCCTTTTCTACATTTGGCCTAAAAGCGCTTGAAATCTCCACCTGCAAATATCACAAAAAGAGGGTTTCACATCTGCTCTGTCTAAAGGACAGTTCACCTCTGTGAGTTGAATAGAGGCAACACAAAGAACTTACTCAGTATTCTTCTTTCTAGCGTTCTATGAAGAAATCCCGTTTCCAACGAAGGCCTCAAAGAGGTCCAAATATCTGCTTGCAGACTTTACAGACAGAGTGTTTCCAAACTACTCTATGAAAAGAAAGCTTAAACTCCTTGAGTTGAACGCACACATCACAAAGTAGTTTCTGAGAATGATTCTGTCTAGTTTTTATACGAAGATGTTTCCTATTCTACATTTGGTCTCAAAGCGATTGAAATCTCCAACTGGAAACTGCACAAATAGGCTGTTTCAAATCTGCTCTGTCTAAAGGAAGGTTCAGCTCTGTGAGTTGAATACACACACCACAAATAAGTTACTGAGAATTCTTCTGTCGAACATTACAGGAAGAAATCCCGTTTCCAACGAAGGCCTCAAAGAGGTCCAAATATCCACTTGCAGATATTACAAACAGAGTGTTTCCAAACTGCTCCATCAAAAGAAAGGTTAAACTCTGTGAGCTGAACACACACATCAAAAAGAAGTTTCTGTGAATGATTCTGTCTAGATTTTATAAGAAGATGTTTCCTTTTCTACCGTAGGCCTCAAAGCGCTTGAAATCTCCAGCTGCAAATTCCACAAAAAGGGTGTTTAACATCTGCTCTTCTAAAGGAAAGTTCAACTCTATGAGTTGAATACACACAGCACAAAGAAGGTACTGAGACTTCTCCTATCAAACATTATATGAAGAAATCCCGTTTCCAAAGAAGGCCTCAAAGAGGTCCAAATATCTGCTTGCAGACTTTACAGACAGAGTTTTTCCAAACTGCTCCATGAATAGAAAGGTTAAACTCCTTGAGTTGAACACACACATCACAAAGTAGTTTCTGTGAATGATTCTGTCTAGTTTTTATACGAAGATGTTTCCTTTTCTACCTTTGGTCTCAAAGCGATTGAAATCTCCACATGGAAACTCCACAAAAAGAGTGTTTCAAATCTGCTCTTTCTGAAGGAAGGTTCAACTCTGTGAGTTGAATACACACACCACAAATAAGTTACTGAGAATTCTTCTGTGTAACATTATATGAGGAAATCCCGTTTCCAACGAAGGCCTCAAAGAGGTCCAAATATCCACTTGCAGACTTTACAAAGACAGTGTCTCCAAACTCCTCCATCAAAAGAAAGGTTATACTCTGTGAATTGAACGCACACATCACAAAGTAGTTTCTGAGAATGATTCTGTCTAGTTTTTATACGAAGATATTTCCTTTTCTACATTTGGCCTAAAAGCGCTTGAAATCTCCACCTGCAAATATCACAAAAAGAGGGTTTCACATCTGCTCTGTCTAAAGGACAGTTCACCTCTGTGAGTTGAATAGAGGCAACACAAAGAACTTACTCAGTATTCTTCTTTCTAGCGTTCTATGAAGAAATCCCGTTTCCAACGAAGGCCCCAAAGAGGTCCAAATATCTGCTTGCAGACTTTACAGACAGAGTGTTTCCAAACTACTCTATGAAAAGAAAGCTTAAACTCCTTGAGTTGAACGCACACATCACAAAGTAGTTTCTGAGAATGATTCTGTCTAGTTTTTATACGAAGATGTTTCCTTTTCTACATTTGGTCTCAAAGTGATTGAAATCTCCAACTGGAAACTCCACAAAAAGAGTGTTTCAAATCTGCTCTGTCTAAAGGAAGGTTCAACTCTGTGAGTTGAATACACACACCACAAATAAGTTACTGAGAATTCTTCTGTCGAACATTACTTGAAGAAATCCCGTTTCCAACGAAGGCCTCAAAGAGGTCCAAATATCCACTTGCAGACATTACAAACAGAGTGTTTCCAACCTGCTCCATCAAAAGAAAGGTTAAACTCTGTGAGCTGAACACACACATCAAAAAGAAGTTTCTGTGAATGATTCTGTCTAGATTTTATAAGAAGATGTTTGCTTTTCTACCGTAGGCCTCAAAGCGCTTGAAATCTCCAGCTGCAAATTCCACAAAAAGGGTGTTTAACATCTGCTCTTCTAAAGGAAAGTTCAACTCTATGCGTTGAACACACACAGCACAAAGAAGTTACTGAGACTTCTCCTATCAAACACTATATGAAGAAATCCCGTTTCCAACGAAGGCCTCAAAGAGGTCCAAATATCTGCTTGCAGACTTTACAGACAGAGTTTTTCCAAACTGCTCCATCAAAAGAAAGGTTAAACTCCTTGAGTTGAACACACACATCACAATGTAGTTTCTGTGAATGATTCTGTCTAGTTTTTATACGAAGATGTTTCCTTTTCTACCTTTGGTCTCAAAGCGATTGAAATCTCCACATGGAAACTCCACAAAAAGAGTGTTTCAAATCTGCTCTTTCTGAAGGAAGGTTCATCTCTGTGAGTTGAATACACACACCACAAATAAGTTACTGAGGAATTCTTCTGGGTAACATTATATGAGGAAATCCCGTTTCCAACGAAGGCCTCAAAGAGGTCCAAATATCCACTTGCAGACTTTACAAAGACAGTGTCTCCAAACTCCTCCATCAAAAGAAAGGTTATACTCTGTGAATTGAACGCACACATCACAAAGTAGTTTCTGAGAATGATTCTGTCTAGTTTTTATACGAAGATATTTCCTTTTCTACATTTGGCCTAAAAGCGCTTGAAATCTCCACCTGCAAATATCACAAAAAGAGGGTTTCACATCTGCTCTGTCTAAAGGACAGTTCACCTCTGTGAGTTGAATAGAGGCAACACAAAGAACTTACTCAGTATTCTTCTTTCTAGCGTTCTATGAAGAAATCCCGTTTCTAACGAAGTCCCCAAAGAGGCCCAAATATCTGCTTGCAGACTTTACAGACAGAGTGTTTCCAAACTAGTCTATGAAAAGAAAGCTTAAACTCCTTGAGTTGAACGCACACATCAGAAAGTAGTTTCTGAGAATTATTCTGTCTAGTTTTTATACGAAGATGTTTCCTTTTCTACATTTGGTCTCAAAGCGATTGAAATCTCCAACTGGAAACTGCACAAATAGGGTGTTTCAAAACTGCTCTGTCTAAAGGAAGGTTCAACTCTGTGAGTTGAATACACACACCACAAATAAGTTACTGAGAATTCTTCCATCGAACATTACTTGAAGAAATCCCGTTTCCAACGAAGGCCTCAAAGAGGTCCAAATATCCACTTGCAGACATTACAAACAGAGTGTTTCCAAACTGCTCCATCAAAAGAAAGGTTAAACTCTTTGAGCTGAACACACACATCAAAAAGAAGTTTCTGTGAATGATTCTGTCTAGATTTTATAAGAAGATGTTTCCTTTTCTACCGTAGGCCTCAAAGCGCTTGAAATCTCCAGCTGCAAATTCCACAAAAAGGGTGTTTAACATCTGCTCTTCTAAAGGAAAGTTCAACTCTATGAGTTGAATACACACAGCACAAAGAAGTTACTGAGACTTCTCCTATCAAACATTATATGAAGAAATCCCGTTTCCAACGAAGGCCTCAAAGGAGGTCCAAATATCTGTTTGCAGACTTTGCAGACAGAGTGTTTCCAAACTGCTCCATCAAAAGAAAGGTTAACCTCCTTGAGTTGAACACACACATCACAAAGTAGTTTCTGAGAATGATTCTGTCTAGTTTTTATACGAAGATGTTTCCTTTTCTACCTTTGGTCTCAAAGCGATTGAAATCTCCACATGGAAACTCCACAAAAAGAGTGTTTCAAATCTGCTCTGTCTAAAGGAAGGTTCAACTCTGTGAGTTGAATACACACACCACAAATAAGTTACTGAGAATTCTTCTGGGTAACATTATATGAGGAAATCCCGTTTCCAACGAAGGCCTCAAAGAGGTCCAAATATCCACTTGCAGACTTTACAAAGACAGTGTCTCCAAACTCCTCCATCAAAAGAAAGGTTATACTCTGTGAATTGAACGCACACATCACAAAGTAGTTTCTGAGAATGATTCTGTCTAGTTTTTATACGAAGATATTTCCTTTTCTACATTTGGCCTAAAAGCGCTTGAAATCTCCACGTGCAAATATCACAAAAAGAGGGTTTCACACCTGCTCTGTCTAAAGGACAGTTCACCTCTGTGAGTTGAATAGAGGCAACACAAAGAACTTACTCAGTATTCTTCTTTATAGCGTTCTATGAAGAAATCCCGTTTCCAACGAAGGCCTCAAAGAGGTCCAAATATCTGCTTGCAGACTTTACAGACAGAGTGTTTCCAAACTACTCTATGAAAAGAAAGCTTAAACTCCTTGAGTTGAACGCACACATCACAAAGTAGTTTCTGAGAATGATTCTGTCTAGTTTTTATACGAAGATGTTTCCTTTTCTACATTTGGTCTCAAAGCGATTGAAATCTCCAACTGGAAACTGCACAAATAGGGTGTTTCAAATCTGCTCTGTCTAAAGGAAGGTTCAACTCTGTGAGTTGAATACACACACCACAAATAAGTTACTGAGAATTCTTCTGTCGAACATTACATGAAGAAATCCCGTTTCCAACGAAGGCCTCAAAGAGGTCCAAATATCCACTTGCAGACATTACAAACAGTGTGTTTCCCAACTGCTCCATCAAAAGAAAGGTTAAACTCTGTGAGCTGAACACACACATCAAAAAGAAGTTTGCTGTGAATGATTCTGTCTAGACTTTAGAAGAAGATGTTTCCTTTTCTACCGTAGGCCTCAAAGCGCTTGAAATCTCCAGCTGCAAATTCCACAAAAAGTGTGTTTAACATCTGCTCTTCTAAAGGAAAGTTCAACTCCATGAGTTGAATACACACAGCACAAAGAAGTTACTGAGACTTCTCCTATCAAACATTATATGAAGAAATCCCGTTTCCAACGAAGGCCTTAAAGAGGTCCAAATATCTGCTTGCAGACTTTACAGACAGAGTGTTTCCAAACTGCTCCATCAAAAGAAAGGTTAAACTCCTTGAGTTGAACACACACATCACAAAGTAGTTTCTGTGAATTATTCTGTCTAGTTTTTATACGAAGATGTTTCCTTTTCTACCTTTGGTCTCAAAGCGATTGAAATCTCCACATGGAAACTCCACAAAAAGAGTGTTTCAAATCTGCTCTTTCTGAAGGAAGGTTCATCTCTGTGAGTTGAATACACACACCACAAATAAGTTACTGAGAATTCTTCTGTGTAACATTATATGAGGAAATCCCGTTTCCAACGAAGGCCTCAAAGAGGTCCAAATATCCACTTGCAGACTTTACAAAGACAGTGTCTCCAAACTCCTCCATAAAAAGAAAGGTTATACTCTGTGAATTGAACGCACACATCACAAAGTAGTTTCTGAGAATGATTCTGTCTAGTTTTTATACGAAGATATTTCCTTTTCTACATTTGGCCTAAAAGCGCTTGAAATCTCCACCTGCAAATATCACAAAAAGAGGGTTTCACATCTGCTCTGTCTAAAGGACAGTTCACCTCTGTGAGTTGAATAGAGGCAACACAAAGAACTTACTCAGTATTCTTCTTTCTAGCGTTCTATGAAGAAATCCCGTTTACAACGAAGGCCCCAAAGAGGTCCAAATATCTGCTTGCAGACTTTACAGACAGAGTGTTTCCAAACTACTCTATGAAAAGAAAGCTTAAACTCCTTGAGTTGAACGCACACATCACAAAGTAGTTTCTGAGAATGATTCTGTCTAGTTTTTATACGAAGATGTTTCCTTTTCTACATTTGGTCTCAAAGCGATTGAAATCTCCAACTGGAAACTGCACAAATAGGGTGTTTCAAATCTGCTCTGTCTAAAGGAAGGTTCAACTCTGTGAGTTGAATACACACACCACAAATAAGTTACTGAGAATTCTTCTGTCGAACATTACAGGAAGAAATCCCGTTTCCAACGAAGGCCTCAAAGAGGTCCAAATATCCACTTGCAGACATTACAAACAGAGTGTTTCCAAACTGCTACATCAAAAGAAAGGTTAAACTCTGTGAGCTGAACACACACATCAAAAAGAAGTTTCTGTGAATGATTCTGTCTAGATTTTATAAGAAGATGTTTCCTTTTCTACCGTAGGCCTCAAAGCGCTTGAAATCTCCAGCTGCAAATTCCACAAAAAGGGTGTTTAACATCTGCTCTTCTAAAGGAAAGTTCAACTCTATGAGTTGAATACACACAGCACAAAGAAGTTACTGAGACTTCTCCTATCAAACATTATATGAAGAAATCCCGTTTCCAACGAAGGCCTCAAAGAGGTCCAAATATCTGCTTGCAGACTTTACAGACAGAGTGTTTCCAAACTGCTCCATCAAAAGAAAGGTTAAACTCCTTGAGTTGAACACACACATCACAAAGTAGTTTCTGTGAATGATTCTGTCTAGTTGTTATACGAAGATGTTTCCTTTTCTACCTTTGGTCTCAAAGCGATTGAAATCTCCACATGGAAACTCCACAAAAAGAGTGTTTCAAATCTGCTCTTTCTGAAGGAAGGTTCATCTCTGTGAGTTGAATACACACACCACAAATAAGTTACTGAGAATTCTTCTGTGTAACATTATATGAGGAAATCCCGTTTCCAACGAAGGCCTCAAAGAGGTCCAAATATCCACTTGCAGACTTTACAAAGACAGTGTCTCCAAACTCCTCCATCAAAAGAAAGGTTATACTCTGTGAATTGAATGCACACATCACAAAGTAGTTTCTGAGAATGATTCTGTCTAGTTTTTATACGAAGATATTTCCTTTTCTACATTTGGCCTAAAAGCGCTTGAAATCTCCACCTGCAAATATCACAAAAAGAGGGTTTCACATCTGCTCTGTCTAAAGGACAGTTCACCTCTGTGAGTTGAATAGAGGCAACACAAAGAACTTACTCAGTATTCTTCTTTCTAGCATTCTATGAAGAAATCCCGTTTCCAACGAAGGCCCCAAAGAGGTCCAAATATCTACTTGCAGAATTTACAGACAGAGTTTTTCCAAACTGCTCCATCAAAAGAAAGGTTAAACTCCTTGAGTTGAACACACACATCACAAAGTAGTTTCTGTGAATGATTCTGTCTAGTTTTTATACGAAGATGTTTCCTTTTCTACCTTTGGTCTCAAAGCGATTGAAATCTCCACATGGAAACTCCACAAAAAGAGTGTTTCAAATCTGCTCTTTCTGAAGGAAGGTTCAACTCTGTGAGTTGAATACACACACCACAAATAAGTTACTGAGAATTCTTCTGTGTAACATTATATGAGGAAATCCCGTTTCCAACGAAGGCGTCAAAGAGATCCAAATATCCACTTGCAGACATTACAAAGACAGTGTCTCCAAACTCCTCCATCAAAAGAAAGGTTATACTCTGTGAATTGAACGCACACATCACAAAGTAGTTTCTGAGAATGATTCTGTCTAGTTTTTATACGAAGATATTTCCTTTTCTACATTTGGCCTAAAAGCGCTTGAAAATCTCCACCCTGCAAATATCACAAAAAGAGGGTTTCACATCTGCTCTGTCTAAATGACAGTTCACCTCTGTGAGTTGAATAGAGGCAACACAAAGAAGTTACTGAGTATTCTTCTTTCTAGCGTTATATGAAGAAATCCCGTTTCCAACGAAGGCCTCAAAGAGGTCCAAATATCTGCTTGCAGACTTTACAGACAGAGTGTTTCCAAACTATTCTATGAAAAGAAAGCTTAAACTCCTTGAGTTGAACGCACACAACGCAAAGTAGTTTCTGAGAATGATTCTGTCTAGTTTTTATACGAAGATGTTTCCTTTTCTACATTTGGTCTCAAAGCGATTGAAATCTCCAACTGGAAACTGCACAAATAGGGTGTTTCAAATCTGCTCTGTCTAAAGGAAGGTTCAACTCTGTGAGTTGAATACACACACCACAAATAAGTTACTGAGAATTCTTCTGTCGAACATTACTTGAAGAAATCCCGTTTCCAACGAAGGCCTCAAAGAGGTCCAAATATCCACTTGTAGACATTACAAACAGAGTGTTTCCAATCTGCTCCATCAAAAGAAAGGTTATACTCTGTGAGCTGAACACACACATCAAAAAGAAGTTTCTGTGAATGATTCTGTCTAGATTTTATAAGAAGATGTTTCCTTTTCTACCGTAGGCCTCAAAGCGCTTGAAATCTCCAGCTGCAAATTCCACAAAAAGGGTGTTTAACATCTGCTCTTCTAAAGGAAAGTTCAACTCTATGAGTTGAATACACACAGCACAAAGAAGTTACTGAGACTTCTCCTATCAAACATTATATGAAGAAATCCCGTTTCCAACGAAGGCCTCAAAGAGGTCCAAATATCTGCTTGCAGACTTTACAGACAGAGTGTTTCCAAACTGCTCCATCAAAAGAAAGGATAAACTCCTTGAGTTGAACACACACATCACAAAGTAGTTTCTGTGAATGATTCTGTCTTGTTGTTATACGAAGATGTTTCCTTTTCTACCTTTGGTCTCAAAGCGATTGAAATCTCCACATGGAAACTCCACAAAAAGAGTGTTTCAAATCTGCTCTTTCTGAAGGAAGGTTCATCTCTGTGAGTTCAATACACACACCACAAATAAGTTACTGAGAATTCTTCTGTGTAACATTATATGAGGAAATCCCGTTTCCAACGAAGGCCTCAAAGAGGTCCAAATATCCACTTGCAGACTTTACAAAGACAGTGTCTCCAAACTCCTCCATCAAAAGAAAGGTTATACTCTGTGAATTGAACGCACACATCACAAAGTAGTTTCTGAGAATGATTCTGTCTAGTTTTTATACGAAGATATTTCCTTTTCTACATTTGGCCTAAAAGCGCTTGAAATCTCCACGTGCAAATATCACAAAAAGAGGGTTTCACATCTGCTCTGTCTAAAGGACAGTTCACCTCTGTGAGTTGAATAGAGGCAACACAAAGAACTTACTCAGTATTCTTCTTTCTAGCGTTATATGAAGAAATGCCGTTTCCAACGAAGGCCTCAAAGAGGTCCAAATATCTGCTTGCAGACTTTACAGACAGAGTGTTTCCAAACTACTCTATGAAAAGAAAGCTTAAACTCCTTGAGTTGAACGCACACATCACAAAGTAGTTTCTGAGAATGATTCTGTCTAGTTTTTATACGAAGATGTTTCCTTTTCTACATTTGGTCTCAAAGCGATTGAAATCTCCAACTGGAAACTGCACAAATAGGGTGTTTCAAATCTGCTCTGTCTAAAGGAAGGTTCAACTCTGTGAGTTGAATACACACACCACACATAAGTTACTGAGAATTCTTCTGTCGAACATTACAGGAAGAAATCCCGTTTCCAACGAAGGCCTCAAAGAGGTCCAAATATCCACTTGCAGACATTACAAACAGAGTGTTTCCAAACTGCTCCATCAAAAGAAAGGTTAAACTCTGTGAGCTGAACACACACATCAAAAAGAAGTTTCTGTGAATGATTCTGTCTAGATTTTATAAGAAGATGTTTCCTTTTCTACCGTAGGCCTCAAAGTGCTTGAAATCTCCAGCTGCAAATTCCACAAAAAGGGTCATTAACATCTGCTCTTCTAAAGGAAAGTTCAACTCTATGAGTTGAATACACACAGCACAAAGAAGTTACTGAGACTTCTCCTATCAAACATTATATGAAGAAATCCCGTTTCCAACGAAGGCCTCAAAGAGGTCCAAATATCTGCTTGCAGACTTTACAGACAGAGTGTTTCCAAACTGCTCCATCAAAAGAAAGGTTAAACTCCTTGAGTTGAACACACACATCACAAAGTAGTTTCTGTGAATGATTCTGTCTAGTTGTTATACGAAGATGTTTCCTTTTCTACCTTTGGTCTCAAAGCGATTGAAATCTCCACATGGAAACTCCACAAAAAGAGTGTTTCAAATCTGCTCTTTCTGAAGGAAGGTTCATCTCTGTGAGTTGAATACACACACCACAAATAAGTTAGTGAGAATTCTTCTGTGTAACATTATATGAGGAAATCCCGTTTCCAACGAAGGCCTCAAAGAGGTCCAAATATCCACTTGTAGACTTTACAAAGACAGTGTCTCCAAACTCCTCCATCAAAAGAAAGGTTATACTCTGTGAATTGAACGCACACATCACAAAGTAGTTTCTGAGAATGATTCTGTCTAGTTTTTATACGAAGATATTTCCTTTTCTACATTTGGCCTAAAAGCGCTTGAAATCTCCACCTGCAAATATCACAAAAAGAGGGTTTCACATCTGCTCTGTCTAAAGGACAGTTCACCTCTGTGAGTTGAATAGAGGCAACACAAAGAACTTACTCAGTATTCTTCTTTCTAGCGTTATATGAAGAAATCCCTTCTCCAACGAAGGCCTCAAAGAGGTCCAAATATCTGCTTGCAGACTTTACAGACAGAGTGTTTCCAAACTACTCTATGAAAAGAAAGCTTAAACTCCGTGAGTTGAACACACACATCACAAAGTAGTTTCTGAGAATGATTCTGTCTAGTTTTTATACGAAGATGTTTCCTTTTCTACATTTGGTCTCAAAGCGATTGAAATCTCCAACTGGAAACTGCACAAATAGGGTGTTTCAAATCTGCTCTGTCTAAAGGAAGGTTCAACTCTGTGAGTTGAATACACACACCACAAATAAGTTACTGAGAATTCTTCTGTCGACCATTACTTGATGAAATCCCGTTTCCAACGAAGGCCTCAAAGAGGTCCAAATATCCACTTGCAGACATTACAAACAGAGTGTTTCCAAACTGCTCCATCAAAAGAAAGGTTAAACTCTGTGAGCTGAACACACACATCGAAAAGAAGTTTCTGTGAATGATTCTGTCTAGATTTTATAAGAAGATATTTCCTTTTCTAACACAGGCCTCAAAGCGCTAGAAAACTCCAGCTGCAAATTCCACAAAAAGTGTGTTTAACATCTGCTCTGTCTAAAGTAAAGTTCAGTTCTGTGAGTTGAATACACACAGCACAAAGAAGTTACTGAGACTTCTCCTATCAAACATTATATGAAGAAATCCCGTTTCCAACGAAGGCCTCAAAGAGGTCCAAATATCCACTTGCAGACGTGACAAACAGAGTTTTTCCAAACTGCTCTATCAAAAGAAAGGTTAAACTCTGTGAGTTGAACACACACATCACAAAGTAGTTTCTGTGAATGATTCTGTCTAGTTTTTATACGAAGATGTTTCCTTTTCTACCTTTTGTCTCAAAGCGATTGAAATCTCCACATGGAAACTCCACAAAAAGAGTGTTTCAAATCTGCTCTTTCTGAAGGAAGGTTCAACTCTGTGAGTTGAATACACACACCACAAATAAGTTACTGAGAATTCTTCTGTGTAACATTATATGAGGAAATCCCGTTTCCAACGAAGGCCTCAAAGAGGTCCAAATATCCACTTGCAGACTTTACAAAGACAGTGTCTCCAAACTCCTCCATCAAAAGAAAGGTTATACTCTGTGAATTGAACGCACACATCACAAAGTAGTTTCTGAGAATGATTCTGTCTAGTTTTTATACGAAGATATTTCCTTTTCTACATTTGGCCTAAAGCGCTTGAAATCTCCACCTGCAAATATCACAAAAAGAGGGTTTCACATCTGCTCTGTCTAAAGGACAGTTCACCTCTGTGAGTTGAATAGAGGCAACACAAAGAACTTACTCAGTATTCTTCTTTCTACCGTTCTATGAAGAAATCCCGTTTCCAACGAAGGCCTCAAAGAGGTCCAAATATCTGCTTGCAGACTTTACAGACAGAGTGTTTCCAAACTACTCTATGAAAAGAAAGCTTAAACTCCTTGAGTTGAACGCACACATCACAAAGTAGTTTCTGAGAATGATTCTGTCTTCTTTTTATACGAAGATATTTCCGTTTCTATGATTGGCCTCCAAGCGATTGAAATCTCCAACTGGAAACTGCACAAATAGGGTGTTTCAAATCTGCTCTGTCTAAAGGAAGGTTCAACTCTGTGAGTTGAATACACACACCACAAATAAGGTACTGAGAATTCTTCTGTCGAACATTACATGAAGAAATCCGGTTTCCAACGAAGGCCTCAAAGAGGTCCAAATAACCACTTGCAGACGTGACAAACAGAGTGTTTACAAACTGCTCCATCCAAAGAAAGGTTAAACTCTGTGAGTTGAACACACACATCACAAAGTAGTTTCTGTGAATGATTCTGTCTAGATTTTATAAGAAGATGTTTCCTTTTCTACCGTAGGCCTCAAACCGCTTGAAATCTCCAGCTGCAAATTCCACAAAAAGAGTGTTTAACATCTGCTCTTCTAAAGGAAAGTTCAACTCTATGAGTTGAATACACACAGCACAAAGAAGTTACTGAGACTTCTCCTATCAAACATTATATGAAGAAATCCCGTTTCCAACGAAGGCCTCAAAGAGGTCCAAATATCTGCTTGCAGACTTTACAGACAGAGTTTTTCCAAACTGCTCCATCAAAAGAAAGGTTAAACTCCTTGAGTTGAACACACACATCACAAAGTAGTTTCTGTGAATGATTCTGTCTAGTTGTTATACGAAGATGTTTCCTTTTCTACCTTTGGTCTCAAAGCGATTGAAATCTCCACATGGAAACTCCACAAAAAGAGTGTTTCAAATCTGCTCTTTCTGAAGGAAGGTTCATCTCTGTGAGTTGAATACACACACCACAAATAAGTTACTGAGAATTCTTCTGTGTAACATTATATGAGGAAATCCCGTTTCCAACGAAGGCCTCAAAGAGGTCCAAATATCCACACGCAGACTTTACAAAGACAGTGTCTCCAAACTCCTCCATCAAAAGAAAGGTTATACTCTGTGAATTGTACGCACACATCACAAAGTAGTTTCTGAGAATGATTCTGTCTAGTTTTTATACGAAGATATTTCCTTTTCTACATTTGGCCTAAAAGCGCTTGAAATCTCCACCTGCAAATATCACAAAAAGAGGGTTTCACATCTGCTCTGTCTAAAGGACAGTTCACCTCTGTGAGTTGAATAGAGGCAACACAAAGAACTTACTCAGTATTCTTCTTTCTAGCGTTCTATGAAGAAATCCCGTTTCCAACGAAGACCCCAATGAGGTCCAAATATCTGCTTGCAGACTTTACAGACAGAGTGTTTCCAAAGTACTCTATGAAAAGAAAGCTTAAACTCCTTGAGTTGAACGCACACATCACAAAGTAGTTTCTGAGAATGATTCTGTCTAGTTTTTATACGAAGATGTTTCCTTTTCTACATTTGGTCTCAAAGCGATTGAAATCTCCAACTGGAAACTGCACAAATAGGGTGTTTCATATCTGCTCTGTCTAAAGGAAGGTTCAACTCTGTGAGTTGAATACTCACACCACAAATAAGTTACTGAGAATTGTTCTGTCGAACATTACTTGAAGAAATCCCGTTTCCAACGAAGGCCTCAAAGAGGTCCAAATATCCACTTGCAGACATTACAAACAGAGTGTTTCCAAACTGCTCCATCAAAAGAAAGGTTAAACTCTGTGAGCTGAACACACACATCAAAAAGAAGTTTCTGTGAATGATTCTGTCTAGATTTTATAAGAAGATGTTTCCTTTTCTACCATAGGCCTCAAAGCGCTTGAAATCTCCAGCTGCAAATTCCACAAAAAGGGTGTTTAACATCTGCTCTTCTAAAGGAAAGTTCAACTCTATGAGTTGAATACACACAGCACAAAGAAGTTACTGAGACTTCTTCTGTCGAACATTACTTGAAGAAATCCCGTTTCCAACGAAGGCCTCAAAGAGGTCCAAATATCTGTTTGCAGACTTTACAGACAGAGTGTTTCCAAACTGCTCCATGAAAAGAAAGGTTAAACTCCTTGAGTTGAACACACACATCACAAAGTAGTTTCTGTGAATAATTCTGTCTAGTTTTTATACGAAGATGTTTCCTTTTCTACCTTTGGTCTCAAAGCGATTGAAATCTCCACATGGAAACTCCACAAAAAGAGTGTTTCATATCTGCTCTTTCTGAAGGAAGGTTCAACTCTGTGAGTTGAATACACACACCACAAATAAGTTACTGAGAATTCTTCTGTCGAACATTACAGGAAGAAATCCCGTGTCCAACGAAGGCCTCAAAGAGGTCCAAATATCCACTTGCAGACTTTACAAAGACAGTGTCTCCAAACTCTTCCATCAAAAGAAAGGTTATACTCTGTGAATTGAACGCACACATCACAAAGTAGTTTCTGAGAATGATTTCTGTCTAGTTTTTATACGAAGATATTTCCTTTTCTACATTTGGCCTAAAAGCGCTTGAAATCTCCACCTGCAAATATCACAAAAAGAGGGTTTCACATCTGCTCTGTCTAAAGGACAGTTCACCTCTGTGAGTTGAATAGAGGCAACACAAAGAACTTACTCAGTATTCTTCTTTCTAGCGTTCTATGAAGAAATCCCGTTTCCAACGAAGGCCCCAAAGAGGTCCAAATATCTGCTTGCAGACTTTACAGACAGAGTGTTTCCAAACTACTCTATGAAAAGAAAGCTTAAACTCCTTGAGTTGAACGCACACATCACAAAGTAGTTTCTGAGAATGATTCTGTCTAGTTTTTATACGAAGATGTTTCCTTTTCTACATTTGGTCTCAAAGCGATTGAAATCTCCAACTGGAAACTGCACAAATAGGGTGTTTCAAATCTGCTCTGTCTAAAGGAAGGTTCAACTCTGTGAGTTGAATACACACACCACAAATAAGTTACTGAGAATTCTTCTGTCGACCATTACTTGAAGAAATCCCGTTTCCAACGAAGGCCTCAAAGAGGTCCAAATATCCACTTGCAGACATTACAAACAGAGTGTTTCCAAACTGCTCCATCAAAAGAAAGGTTAAACTCGGTGAGCTGAACACACACATCGAAAAGAAGTTTCTGTGAATGATTCTGTCTAGATTTTATAAGAAGATGTTTCCTTTTCTACCGTAGGCCTCAAAGCGCTTGAAATCTCCAGCTGCAAATTCCACAAAAAGGGTGTTTAACATCTGCTCTTCTAAAGGAAAGTTCAACTCTATGAGTTGAATACACACAGCACAAAGAAGTTAGTGAGACTTCTCCTATCAAACATTATATGAAGAAATCCCGTTTCCAACGAAGGCCTCAAAGAGGTCCAAATATCTGCTTGCAGACTTTACAGACAGAGTGTTTCCAAACTGCTCCATCAAAAGAAAGGTTAAACTCCTTGAGTTGAACACACACATCACAAAGTAGTTTCTGTGAATGATTCTGTCTAGTTTTTATACGAAGATGTTTCCTTTTCTACCTTTGGTCTCAATGCGATTGAAATCTCCACATGGAAACTCCAGAAAAAGAGTGTTTCAAATCTGCTCTTTCTGAAGGAAGGTTCAACTCTGTGAGTTGAATACACACACCACAAATAAGTTACTGAGAATTCTTCTGTGTAACATTATATGAGGAAATCCCGTTTCCAATGAAGGCCGCAAAGAGGTCCAAATATCCACTTTCAGACTTACAAAGACAGTGTCTCCAAACTCCACCATCAAAAGAAAGGTTATACTCTGTGAATTGAACGCACACATCACAAAGTAGTTTCTGAGAATGATTCTGTCTAGTTTTTATACGAAGATATTTCCTTTTCTACATTTGGCCTAAAAGCGCTTGAAATCTCCACCTGCAAATATCACAAAAAGAGGGTTTCACATCTGCTCTGTCTAAAGGACAGTTCACCTCTGTGAGTTGAATAGAGGCAACACAAAGAACTTACTCAGTATTCTTCTTTGTAGCGTTATATGAAGAAATCCCGTTTCCAACGAAGGCCTCAAAGAGGTCCAAATATCTGCTTGCAGACTTTACAGACAGAGTTTTTCCAAACTACTCTAGGAAAAGAAAGCTTAAACTCCTTGAGTTGAACGCAAACATCACAAAGTAGTTTCTGAGAATGATTCTGTCTTGTTTTTATACGAAGATATTTCCGTTTCTATGATTGGCCTAAAAGCGCTTGAAATCTCCAACTGCAAATATCACAAAAAGAGGGTTTCACATCTGCTCAGTCTAAAGGACAGTTCCCCTCTGTGAGTTGAATAGAGGCAACACAAAGAACTTACTCAGTATTCTTCTTTCTAGCGTTATATGAAGAAATCCCGTTTCAAACGAAGGCCTCAAAGAGGTCCAAATATCTGCTTGCAGACATTACAGACAGAGTGTTTCCAAAGTACTCTATGAAAAGAAAGCTTAAACTCCTTGAGTTGAACGCACCCATTGCAAAGTAGTTTCTGAGAATGATTCTGTCTAGTTTTTATACGAAGATGTTTCCTTTTCTACATTTCGTCTCAAAGCGATTGAAATCTCCAACTGGAAACTGCACAAATAGGGTGTTTCAAATCTGCTCTGTCTAAAGGAAGGTTCAACTCTGTGAGTTGAATACATACACCACAAATAAGTTACTGAGAATTCTTCTGTCGAACATTACATGAAGAAATCCCGTTTCCAACGAAGGCCTCAAAGACGTCCAAATATCCACTTGCAGACATTACAAAGAGAGTGTTTCCAAACTGCTCCATCAAAAGAAAGGTTAAACTCTGTGAGCTGAACACACACATCAAAAAGAAGTTTCTGTGAATGATTCTGTCTAGATTTTATAAGAAGATGTTTCCTTTTCTACCGTAGGCCTCAAAGCGCTTGAAATCTCCAGCTGCAAATTCCACAAAAAGGGTGTTTAACATCTGCTCTTCTAAAGGAAAGTTCAACTCTATGAGTTGAATACACACAGCACAAAGAAGTTACTGAGACTTCTCCTATCAAACATTATATGAAGAAATCCCGTTTCCAACGAAGGCCTCAAAGAGGTCCAAATATCTGCTTGCAGACTTTACAGACAGAGTGTTTCCAAACTGCTCCATCAAAAGAAAGGTTAAACTCCTTGAGTTGAACATACACATCACAAAGTAGTTTCTGTGAATGATTCTGTCTAGTTTTTATACGAAGATGTTTCCTTTTCTACCTTTGGTCTCAAAGCGATTGAAATCTCCACATGGAAACTCCACAAAAAGAGTGTTTCATATCTGCTCTTTCTGAAGGAAGGTTCAACTCTGTGAGTTGAATACACACACCACAAATAAGTTACTGAGAATTCTTCTGTGTAACATTATATGAGGAAATCCCGTTTCCAACGAAGGCCTCAAAGAGGTCCAAATATCCACTTGCAGACTTTACAAAGACAGTGTCTCCAAACTCCTCCATCAAAAGAAAGGTTATACTCTGTGAATTGAACGCACACATCACAAAGTAGTTTCTGAGAATGATTCTGTCTAGTTTTTATACGAAGATATTTCCTTTTCTACATTTGGCCTAAAAGCGCTTGAAATCTCCACCTGCAAATATCACAAAAAGAGGGTTTCACATCTGCTCTGTCTAAAGGACAGTTCACCTCTGTGAGTTGAATAGAGGCAACACAAAGAACTTACTCAGTATTCTTCTTTCTAGCGTTCTATGAAGAAATCCCGTTTCCAACGAAGGCCCCAATGAGGTCCAAATATCTGCTTGCAGACTTTACAGACAGAGTGTTTCCAAACTACTCTATGAAAAGAAAGCTTAAACTCCTTGAGTTGAACGCACACATCACAAAGTAGTTTCTGAGAATGATTCTGTCTACTTTTTATACGAAGATGTTTCCTTTTCTACATTTGGTCTCAAAGCGATTGAAATCTCCAACTGGATACTGCACAAATAGGGTGTTTCAAATCTGCTCTGTCTAAAGGAAGGTTCAACTCTGTGAGTTGAATACACACACCACAAATAAGTTACTGAGAATTCTTCTGTCGAACATTACTTGAAGAAATCCCGTTTCCAAAGAAGGCCTCAAAGAGGTCCAAATATCCACTTGCAGACATTACAAACAGAGTGTTTCCAAACTGCTCCATCAAAAGAAAGGTTAAATTCTGTGAGCTGAACACACACATCAAAAAGAAGTTTCTGTGAATGATTCTGTCTAGATTTTATAAGAAGATGTTTCCTTTTCTACCGTAGGCCTCAAAGCGCTTGAAATCTCCAGCTGCAAATTCCACAAAAAGGGTGTTTAACATCTGCTCTTCTAAAGGAAAGTTCAACTCTATGAGTTGAATACACACAGCACAAAGAAGTTACTGAGACTTCTCCTATCAAACATTATATGAAGAAATCCCGTTTCCAACGAAGGCCTCAAAGAGGTCCAAATATCTGCTTGCAGACTTTACAGACAGAGTGTTTCCAAACTGCTCCATCAAAAGAAAGGTTAAACTCCTTGAGTTGAACACACACATCACAAAGTAGTTTCTGTGAATGATTCTGTCTAGATTTTATACGAAGATGTTTCCTTTTCTACCTTTGGTCTCAATGCGATTGAAATCTCCACATGGAAACTCCACAAAAAGTGTGTTTGAAATCTGCTCTTTCTGAAGGAAGGTTCAACTCTGTGAGTTGAATAAACACACCACAAATAAGTTACTGAGAATTCTTCTGTGTAACATTATATGAGGAAATCCCGTTTCCAACGAAGGCCTCAAAGAGGTCCAAATATCCACTTGCAGACTTTACAAAGACAGTGTCTCCAAACTCCTCCATCAAAAGAAAGGTTATACTCTGTGAATTGAACGCACACATCACAAAGTAGTTTCTGAGAATGATTCTGTCTAGTTTTTATACGAAGATATTTCCTTTTCTACATTTGGCCTAAAAGCGCTTGAAATCTCCACCTGCAAATATCACAAAAAGAGGGTTTCACATCTGCTCTGTCTAAAGGACAGTTCACCTCTGTGAGTTGAATAGAGGCAACACAAAGAACTTACTCAGTATTCTTCTTTCTAGCGTTATATGAAGAAATCCCGTTTCCAACGAAGGCCTCAAAGAGTTCCAAATATCTGCTTGCAGACTTTACAGACAGAGTGTTTCCAAACTACTCTATGAAAAGAAAGCTTAAATCCTTGAGTTGAACGCACACATCACAAACTAGTTTCTGAGAATGATTCTGTCTTGTTTTTATACGAAGATCTTTCCGTTTCTATGATTGGCCTCAAAGCGATTGAAATCTCCAACTGGAAACTGCACAAATAGGGTGTTTCAAATCTGCTCTGTCTAAAGGAAGGTTCAACTCTGTGAGTTGAATACACACACCACAAATAAGTTACTGAGAATTCTTCTGTCGAACATTACTTGAAGAAATCCCGTTTCCAACGAAGGCCTCAAAGAGGTCCAAATATCCACTTGCAGACATTACAAACAGAGTGTTTCCAAACGGCTCCATCAAAAGAAAGGTTAAACTCTGTGAGCTGAACACACACATCGAAAAGAAGTTTCTGTGAATGATTCTGTCTAGATTTTATAAGAAGATGTTTCCTTTTCTACCGTAGGCCTCAAAGCGCTTGAAATCTCCAGCTGCAAATTCCACAAAAAGGGTGTTTAACATCTGCTCTTCTAAAGGAAAGTTCAACTCTATGAGTTGAATACACACAGCACAAAGAAGTTACTGAGACTTCTCCTATCAAACATTATATGAAGAAATCCCGTTTCCAACGAAGGCCTCAAAGAGGTCCAAATATCTGCTTGCAGACTTTACAGACAGAGTGTTTCCAAACTGCTCCATCAAAAGAAAGGTTAAACTCCTTGAGTTGAACACACACATCACAAAGTAGTTTCTGTGAATGATTCTGTCTAGTTTTTATACGAAGATGTTTCCTTTTCTACCTTTGGTCTCAAAGCGATTGAAATCTCCACATGGAAACTCCACAAAAAGAGTGTTTCAAATCTGCTCTTTCTGAAGGAAGGTTCACCTCTGTGAGTTGAATAAACACACCACAAATAAGTTACTGAGAATTCTTCTGTGTAACATTATATGAGGAAATCCCGTTTCCAACGAAGGCCTCAAAGAGGTCCAAATATCCACTTGCAGACTTTACAAAGACAGTGTCTCCAAACTCCTCCATGAAAAGAAAGGTTATACTCTGTGAATTCAACGCACACATCACAAAGTAGTTTCTGAGAATGATTCTGTCTAGTTTTTATACGAAGATATTTCCTTTTCTACATTTGGCCTAAAAGCGCTTGAAATCTCCACCTGCAAATATCACAAAAAGAGGGTTTCACATCTGCTCTGTCTAAAGGACAGTTCACCTCTGTGAGTTGAATAGAGGCAACACAAAGAACGTACTCAGTATTCTTCTTTCTACCGTTCTATGAAGAAATCCCGTTTCCAACGAAGGCCTCAAAGAGGTCCAAATATCTGCTTGCAGACTTTACAGACAGAGTGTTTCCAAACTACTCTATGAAAAGAAAGCTTAAACTCCTTGAGTTGAACGCACACATCACAAAGTAGTTTCTGAGAATGATTCTGTCTAGTTTTTATACGAAGATGTTTCCTTTTCTACATTTGGTCTCAAAGCGATTGAAATCTCCAACTGGAAACTGCACAAATAGGGTGTTTCAAATCTGCTCTGTCTAAAGGAAGGTTCAACTCTGTGAGTTGAATACACACACCACAAATAAGTTACTGAGAATTCTTCTGTCGAACATTACTTGAAGAAATCCCGTTTCCAACGAAGGCCTCAAAGAGGTCCTAATATCCACTTGCAGACATTACAAACAGAGTGTTTCCAAACTGCTCCATCAAAAGAAAGGTTAAACTCTGTGAGCTGAACACACACATCAAAAAGAAGTTTCTGTGAATGATTCTGTCTAGATTTTATAAGAAGATGTTTCCTTTTCTACCGTAGGCCTCAAAGTGCTTGAAATCTCCAGCTGCAAATTCCACAAAAAGGGTGTTTAACATCTGCTCTTCTAAAGGAAAGTTCAACTCAATGAGTTGAATACACACAGCCCAAAGAAGTTACTGAGACTTCTCCTATCAAACATTATATGAAGAAATCCCGTTTCCAACGAAGGCCTCAAAGAGGTCCAAATGTCTGCTTGCAGACTTTACAGACAGAGTGTTTCCAAACTGCTCCATCAAAAGAAAGGTTAAACTCCTTGAGTTGAACACACACATCACAAAGTAGTTTCTGTGAATGATTCTGTCTAGTTTTTATACGAAGATGTTTCCTTTTCTACCTTTGGTCTCAAAGCGATTGAAATCTCCACATGGAAACTCCACAAAAAGAGTGTTTCAAATCTGCTCTTTGTGAAGGAAGGTTCAACTCTGTGAGTTGAATACACACACCACAAATAAGTTACTGAGAATTCTTCTGTGTAACATTATATGAGGAAATCCCGTTTCCAACGAAGGCCTCAAAGAGGTCCAAATATCCACTTGCAGACTTTACAAAGACAGTGTCTCCAAACTCCTCCATCAAAAGAAAGGTTATACTCTGTGAATTGAACGCACACATCACAAAGTAGTTTCTGAGAATGATTCTGTCTAGTTTTTATACGAAGATATTTCCTTTTCTACATTTGGCCTAAAAGCGCTTGAAATCTCCACGTGCAAATATCACAAAAAGAGGGTTTCACATCTGCTCTGTCTAAAGGACAGTTCACCTCTGTGAGTTGAATAGAGGCAACACAAAGAACTTACTCAGTATTCTTCTTTCTAGCATTCTATGAAGAAATCCCGTTTCCAACGAAGGCCCCAAAGAGGTCCAAATATCTGCTTGCAGACTTTACAGACAGAGTTTTTCGAAACTGCTCCATCAAAAGAAAGGTTAAACTCCTTGAGTTGAACACACACATCACAAAGTAGTTTCTGAGAATGATTCTGTCTAGTTTTTATACGAAGATGTTTCCTTTTCTACATTTGGTCTCAAAGCGATTGAAATCTCCAACTGGAAACTGCACAAATAGGGTGTTTCAAATCTGCTCTGTCTAAAGGAAGGTTCAACTCTGTGAGTTGAATACACACACCACAAATAAGTTACTGAGTATTCTTCTGTCGAACATTACTTGAAGAAATCCCGTTTCCAGCGAAGGCCTCAAAGAGGTCCAAATATCCACTTGCAGACATTACAAACCGAGTGTTTCCAAACTGCTCCATCAACAGAAAGGTTAAACTCTGTGAGCTGAACACACACATCAAAAAGAAGTTTCTGTGAATGATTCTGTCTAGATTTTA
Source organism: Homo sapiens (assembly GCF_000001405.40). NCBI lineage: Eukaryota > Metazoa > Chordata > Mammalia > Primates > Hominidae > Homo > Homo sapiens. The sequence continues at coordinate 36,701,855 of NC_000012.12, read as the reverse complement.
TAAGAAGATGTTTCCTTTTCTACTGTAGGCCTCAAAGCGCTTGAAATCTCCAGCTGCAAATTCCACAAAAAGGGTGTTTTACATCTGCTCTTCTAAAGGAAAGTTCAACTCTATGAGTTGAATACACACAGCACAAAGATGTTACTGAGACTTCTCCTATCAGACATTATATGAAGAAATCCCGTTTCCAACGAAGGCCTCAAAGAGGTCCAAATATCTGCTTGCAGACTTTACAGACAGAGTGTTTCCAAACTGCTCCATCAAAAGAAAGGTTAAACTCCTTGAGTTGAACACACACATCACAAAGTAGTTTCTGTGAATGATTCTGTCTAGTTTTTATACGAAGATGTTTCCTTTTCTACCTTTGGTCTCAAAGCGATTGAAATCTCCACATGGAAACTCCACAAAAAGAGTGTTTCAAATCTGCTCTTTCTGAAGGAAGGTTCAACTCTGTGAGTTGAATACACACACCACAAATAAGTTACTGAGAATTCTTCTGTGTAACATTATATGAGGAAATCCCGTTTCCAACGAAGGCCTCAAAGAGGTCCAAATATCCACTTGCAGACTTTACAAAGACAGTGTCTCCAAACTCTTCCATCAAAAGAAAGGTTATACTCTGTGAATTGAACTCACACATCACAAAGTAGTTTCTGAGAATGATTCTGTCTAGTTTTTATACGAAGATATTTCCTTTTCTACATTTTGCCCAAAAGCGCTTGAAATCTCCACCTGCAAATATCACAAAAAGAGGGTTTCACATCTGCTCTGTCTAAAGGACAGTTCCCCTCTGTGAGTTGAATAGAGGCAACACAAAGAAGTTACTGGGTATTCTTCTTTCTAGCGTTATATGAAGAAATCCCGTTTCCAACGAAGGCCTCAAAGAGGTCCAAATATCTGCTTGCAGACTTTACAGACAGAGTGTTTCCAAACTACTCTATGAAAAGAAAGCTTAAACTCCGTGAGTTGAACGCACACATCACAAAGTAGTTTCTGAGAATGATTCTGTCTAGTTTTTATACGAAGATGTTTCCTTTTCTACATTTGGTCTCAAAGCTCTTGAAATCTCCAACTGGAAACTGCACAAATAGGCTGTTTTAAATCTGCTCTGTCTAAAGGAAGGTTCAACTCTGTGAGTTGAATACACACACCACAAATAAGTTACTGAGAATTCTTCTGTCGAACATTACATGAAGAAATCCCGTTTCCAACGAAGGCCTCAAAGAGGTCCAAATATCCACTTGCAGACATTACAGAGTGTTTCCAAACTGCTCCATCAAAAGAAAGGTTAAACTCTGTGAGCTGAACACACACATTGAAAAGAAGTTTCTGTGAATGATTCTGTCTAGATTTTATAAGAAGATGTTTCCTTTTCTACAGCTGCAAATTCCACAAAAAGGGTGTTTAACATCTGCTCTTCTAAAGGAAAGTTCAACTCTATGAGTTGAATAAACACAGCACAAAGTAGTTACTGAGACTTCTCCTATCAAACATTATATGAAGAAATCCCGTTTCCAACGAAGGCCTCAAAGAGGTCCAAATATCTGCTTGCAGACTTTACAGACAGAGTGTTTCCAAACTGCTCCATCAAAAGAAAGGTTAAACTCCTTGAGTTGAACACACCCATCACAAAGTAGTTTCTGTGAATGATTCTGTCTAGTTTTTATACGAAGATGTTTCCTTTTCTACCTTTGGTCTCAAAGCGATTGAAATCTCCACATGGAAACTCCACAAAAAGAGGGTTTCAAATCTGCTCTTTCTGAAGTAAGGTTCACCTCTGTGATTTGAATAAACACACCACAAATAAGTTACTGAGAATTCTTCTGTGTAACATTATATGAGGAAATCCCGTTTCCAACGAAGGCCTCAAAGAGGTCCAAATATCCACTTGCAGACTTTAGAAACACAGTGTCTCCAAACTCCTCCATCAAAAGAAAGGTTATACTCTGTGAAATGAACGCACACATCAGAAAGTAGTTTCTGAGAATGATTCTGTCTAGTTTTTATACGAAGATATTTCCTTTTCTACATTTGGCCTAAAAGCGCTTGAAATCTCCACCTGCAAATATCACAAAAAGAGGGTTTCACATCTGCTCTGTCTAAAGGACAGTTCACCTCTGTGAGTTGAATAGAGGCAACACAAAGAACTTACTCAGTATTCTTCTATCTAGCGTTCTATGAAGAAATCCCGTTTCCAACGAAGGCCTCAAAGAGGTCCAAATATCTGCTTGCACACTTTACAGACAGAGTGTTTCCAAACTACTCTATGAAAAGAAAGCTTAAACTCCTTGAGTTGAACGCACACATCACAAAGAGTTTCTGAGAATGATTCTGTCTAGTTTTTATACGAAGATGTTTCCTTTTCTACATTTGGTCTCAAAGCGATTGAAATCTCCAACTGGAAACTGCACAAATAGGGTGTATCAAATCTGCTCTGTGTAAAGAAGGTTCAACTCTGTGAGTTGAATACACACACCACAAATAAGTTACTGAGAATTCTTCTGTCGAACATTACTTGAAGAAATCCCGTTTCCAACGAAGGCCTCAAAGAGGTCCAAATATCTGCTTGCAGACTTTACAGACAGAGTGTTTCCAAACTACTCTATGAAAAGAAAGCTTAAACTCCTTGAGTTGAACGCACACATCACAAAGTAGTTTCTGAGAATCATTCTGTCTAGATTTTATAAGAAGATGTTTCCTTTTCTACCGTAGGCCTCAAAGCGCTTGAAATCTCCAGCTGCAAATTCCACAAAAAGGGTGTTTAACATCTGCTCTTCTAAAGGAAAGTTCAACTCTATGAGTTGAATACACACAGCACAAAGAAGTTACTGACACTTCTCCTATCAAACATTATATGAAGAAATCCCGTTTCCAACGAAGGCCTCAAAGAGGTCCAAATATCTGCTTGCAGACGTTACAGACAGAGTGTTTCAAAACTGCTCCATCAAAAGAAAGGTTAACCTCCTTGAGTTGAACACACACATCACAAAGTAGTTTCTGTGAATGATTCTGTCTAGTTTTTATACGAAGATGTTTCCTTTTCTACCTTTGGTCTCAAAGCGATTGAAATCTCCACATGGAAACTCCACAAAAAGAGTGTTTCAAATCTGCTCTTTCTGAAGGAAGGTTCAACTCTGTGAGTTGAATACACACACCACAAATAAGTTACTGAGAATTCTTCTGTGTAACATTATATGAGGAAATCCCGTTTCCAACGAAGGCCTCAAAGAGGTCCAAATATCCACTTGCAGACTTTACAAAGACAGTGTCTCCAAACTCCTCCATCAAAGAAAGGTTATACTCTGTGAATTGAACGCACACATCACAAAGTAGTTTCTGAGAATGATTCTGTCTAGTTTTTATAAGAAGATATTTCCTTTTCTACATTTGGCCTAAAAGCGCTTGAAATCTCCACCTGCAAATATCACAAAAAGAGGGTTTCACATCTGCTCTGTCTAAAGGACAGTTCACCTCTGTGAGTTGAATAGAGGCAACACAAAGAACTTACTCAGTATTCTTCTTTCTAGCGTTCTATGAAGAAATCCCGTTTCCAACGAAGGCCTCAAAGAGGTCCAAATATCTGCTTGCAGACTTTACAGACAGAGTGTTTCCAAACTACTCTATGAAAAGAAAGCTTAAACTCCTTGAGTTGAACGCACACATCACAAAGTAGTTTCTGAGAATGATTCTGTCTAGTTTTTATACGAAGATGTTTCCTTTTCTACATTTGGTCTCAAAGCGATTGAAATCTCCAACTGGAAACTGCACAAATAGGGTGTTTCAAATCTGCTCTGTCTAAAGGAAGGTTCAACTCTGTGAGTTGAATACACACACCACAAATAAGTTACTGAGAATTCTTCTGTCGAACATTACAGGAAGAAATCCCGTTTCCAGCGAAGGCCTCAAAGAGGTCCAAATATCCACTTGCAGACATTACAAACAGAGTGTTTCCAAACTGCTCCATCAAAAGAAAGGTTAAACTCTGTGAGCTGAACACACACATCAAAAAGAAGTTTCTGTGAATGATTCTGTCTAGATTTTATAAGAAGATGTTTCCTTTTGTACCGTAGGCCTCAAAGTGCTTGAAATCTCCAGCTGCAAATTCCACAAAAAGGGTGTTTAACATCTGCTCTTCTAAAGGAAAGTTCAACTCAATGAGTTGAATACACACAGCCCAAAGAAGTTACTGAGACTTCTCCTATCAAACATTATATGAAGAAATCCCGTTTCCAACGAAGGCCTCAAAGAGGTCCAAATATCTGCTTGCAGACTTTACAGACAGAGTGTTTCCAAACTGCTCCATCAAAAGAAAGGTTAAACTCCTTGAGTTGAACACACACATCACAAAGTAGTTTCTGTGAATGATTCTGTCTAGTTTTTATACGAAGATGTTTCCTTTTCTACCTTTGGTCTCAAAGCGATTGAAATCTCCACATGAAACTCCACAAAAAGAGTGTTTCAAATCTGCTCTTTCTGAAGGAAGGTTCAACTCTGTGAGTTGAATACACACACCACAAATAAGTTACTGAGAATTCTTCTGGGTAACATTATATGAGGAAATCCCGTTTCCAACGAAGGCCTCAAAGAGGTCCAAATATCCACTTGCAGACTTTACAAAGACAGTGTCTCCAAACTCCTCCATCAAAAGAAAGGTTATACTCTGTGAATTGAACGCACACATCACAAAGTAGTTTCTGAGAATGATTCTGTCTAGTTTTTATACGAAGATATTTCCTTTTCTACATTTGGCCTAAAAGCGCTTGAAATCTCCACCTGCAAATATCACAAAAAGAGGGTTTCACATCTGCTCTGTCTATAGGACAGTTCACCTCTGTGAGTTGAATAGAGGCAACACAAAGAACTTACTCAGTATTCTTCTTTCTAGCGTTCTATGAAGAAATCCCGTTTCCAACGAAGGCCCCAAAGAGGTCCAAATATCTGCTTGCAGACTTTACAGACAGAGTGTTTCCAAACTACTCTATGAAAAGAAAGCTTAAACTCCTTGAGTTGAACGCACACATCACAAAGTAGTTTCTGAGAATGATTCTGTCTTGTTTTTATACGAAGATATTTCCGTTTCTATGATTGGCCTCCAAGCGATTGAAATCTCCAACTGGAAACTGCACAAATAGGGTGTTTCAAATCTGCTCTGTCTAAAGGAAGGTTCAATTCTGTGAGTTGAATACACACACCACAAATAACTTACTGAGAATTCTTCTGTCGAACATTACTTGAAGAAATCCCGTTTCCAACGAAGGCCTCAAAGAGGTCCAAATATCCACTTGCAGACATTACAAACAGAGTGTTTCCAAACTGCTCCATCAAAAGAAAGGTTAAACTCTGTGAGCTGAACACACACATCGAAAAGAAGTTTCTGTGAATGATTCTGTCTAGATTTTATAAGAAGATGTTTCCTTTTCTACCGTAGGCCTCAAAGCGCTTGAAATCTCCAGCTGCAAATTCCACAAAAAGGGTGTTTAACATCTGCTCTTCTAAAGGAAAGTTCAACTCTATGAGTTGAATACACACAGCACAAAGAAGTTACTGAGACTTCTCCTATCAAACATTATATGAAGAAATCCCGTTTCCAACGAAGGCCTCAAAGAGGTCCAAATATCTGCTTGCAGACTTTACAGACAGAGTGTTTCCAAACTGCTCCATCAAAAGAAAGGTTAAACTCCTTGAGTTGAACACACCCATCACAAAGTAGTTTCTGTGAATGATTCTGTCTAGTTGTTATACGAAGATGTTTCCTTTTCTACCTTTGGTCTCAAAGCGATTGAAATCTCCACATGGAAACTCCACAAAAAGAGTGTTTCAAATCTGCTCTTTCTGAAGGAAGGTTCATCTCTGTGAGTTCAATACACACACCACAAATAAGTTACTGAGAATTCTTCTGTGTAACATTATATGAGGAAATCCCGTTTCCAACGAAGGCCTCAAAGAGGTCCAAATATCCACTTGCAGACTTTACAAAGAGAGTGTCTCCAAACTCCTCCATCAAAAGAAAGGTTATACTCTGTGAATTGAACGCACACATCACAAAGTAGTTTCTGAGAATGATTCTGTCTAGTTTTTATACGAAGATATTTCCTTTTCTACATTTGGCCTAAAAGCGCTTGAAATCTCCACCTGCAAATATCACAAAAAGAGGTTTTCACATCTGCTCTGTCTAAAAGACAGTTCACCTCTGTGAGTTGAATAGAGGCATCACAAAGAACTTACTCAGTGTTCTTCTTTCTAGCGTTCTATGAAGAAATCCCGTTTCCAACGAAGGCCCCAAAGTGGTCCAAATATCTGCTTGCAGACTTTACAGACAGAGTGTTTCCAAACTACTCTATGAAAAGAAAGCTTAAACTCCTTGAGTTGAACGCACACATCACAAAGTAGTTTCTGAGAATGATTCTGTCTAGTTTTTATACGAAGATGTTTCCTTTTCTACATTTGGTCTCAAAGCGATTGAAATCTCCAACTGGAAACTGCACAAATAGGGTGTTTCAAATCTGCTCTGTCTAAAGGATGGTTCAACTCTGTGAGTTGAATACACACACCACAAATAAGTTACTGAGAATTCTTCTGTCGAACATTACATGAAGAAATCCCGTTTCCAACGAAGGCCTCAAAGAGGTCCAAATATCCACTTGCAGACATTACAAACAGAGTGTTTCCAAACTGCTCCATCAAAAGAAAGGTTAAACTCTGTGAGCTGAACACACACATCAAAAAGAAGTTTCTGTGAATGATTCTGTCTAGATTTTATAAGAAGATGTTTCCTTTTCTACCGTAGGCCTCAAAGCGCTTGAAATCTCCAGCTGCAAATTCCACAAAAAGGGTGTTTAACATCTGCTCTTCTAAAGGAAAGTTCAACTCTATGAGTTGAATACACACAGCACAAAGAAGTTACTGAGACTTCTCCTATCAAACATTATATGAAGAAATCCCGTTTCCAACGAAGGCCTCAAAGAGGTCCAAATATCTGCTTGCAGACTTTACAGACAGAGTGTTTCCAAACTGCTCCATCAAAAGAAAGGTTAAACTCCTTGAGTTGAACACACACATCACAAAGTAGTTTCTGTGAATGATTCTGTCTAGTTTTTATACGAAGATGTTTCCTTTTCTACCTTTGGTCTCAAAGCGATTGAAATCTCCACATGGAAACTCCACAAAAAGAGTGTTTCAAATCTGCTCTTTCTGAAGGAAGGTTCAACTCTGTGAGTTGAATACACACACCACAAATAAGTTACTGAGAATTCTTCTGTGTAACATTATATGAGGAAATCCCGTTTCCAACGAAGGCCTCAAAGAGGTCCAAATATCCACTTGCAGACTTTACAAAGACAGTGTCTCCAAACTCCTCCATCAAAAGAAAGGTTATACTCTGTGAATTGAATGCACACATCACAAAGTAGTTTCTGAGAATGATTCTGTCTAGTTTTTATACGAAGATATTTCCTTTTCTACATTTGGCCTAAAAGCGCTTGAAATCTCCACCTGCAAATATCACAAAAAGAGGGTTTCACATCTGCTCTGTCTAAAGGACAGTTCACCTCTGTGAGTTGAATAGAGGCAACACAAAGAACTTACTCAGTATTCTTCTTTCTAGCGTTCTATGAAGAAATCCCGTTTCCAACGAAGGCCTCAAAGAGGTCCAAATATCTGCTTGCAGACTTTACAGACAGAGTGTTTCCAAACTACTCTATGAAAAGAAAGCTTAAACTCCTTGAGTTGAACGCACACATCACAAAGTAGTTTCTGAGAATGATTCTGTCTTGTTTTTATACAAAGTTATTTCTGTTTCTATGATTGGCCTCAAAGCGATTGAAATCTCCAACTGGAAACTGCACAAATAGGGTGTTTCAAATCTGCTCTGTCTAAAGGAAGGTTCAACTCTGTGAGTTGAATACACACACCACAAATAAGTTACTGAGAATTCTTCTGTCGAACATTACATGAAGAAATCCCGTTTCCAACGAAGGCCTCAAAGAGGTCCAAATATCCACTTGCAGACATTACAAACAGTGTGTTTCCAAACTACTCCATCAAAAGAAAGGTTAAACTCTGTGAGCTGAACACACACATCAAAAAGTAGTTTCTGTGAATGATTATGTCTAGATTTTATAAGAAGATGTTTCCTTTTCTACCGTAGGCCTCAAAGCGCTTGAAATCTCCAGCTGCAAATTCCACAAAAAGGGTGTTTAACATCTGCTCTTCTAAAGGAAAGTTCAACTCTATGAGTTGAATACACACAGCACAAAGAAGTTACTGAGACTTCTCCTATCTAACATTATATGAAGAAATCCCGTTTCCAACGAAGGCCTCAAAGAGGTCCAAATATCTGCTTGCAGACTTTACAGACAGAGTGTTTCCAAACTGCTCCATCAAAAGAAAGGTTAAACTCCTTGACTTGAACACACACATCACAAAGTAGTTTGCTGTGAATGATTCTGTCTAGTTTTTATACGAAGATGTTTCCTTTTCTACCTTTGGTCTCAAAGCGATTGAAATCTCCACATGGAAACTCCACAAAAAGAGTGTTTCAAATCTGCTCTTTCTGAAGGAAGGTTCAACTCTGTGAGTTGAATACACACACCACAAATGAGTTACTGAGAATTCTTCTGTGTAACATTATATGAGGAAATCCCATTTCCAACGAAGGCCTCAAAGAGGTCCCAATATCCACATGCAGACTTTACAAAGACAGTGTCTCCAAACTCCTCCATCAAAAGAAAGGTTATACTCTGTGAATTGAACTCACACATCACAAAGTAGTTTCTGAGAAGGATTCTGTCTAGTTTTTATACGAAGATATTTCCTTTTCTACATTTGGCCTAAAAGCGCTTGAAATCTCCACCTGGAAATATCACAAAAAGAGGGTTTCACATCTGCTCTGTCTAAAGGACAGTTCACCTCTGTGAGTTGAATAGAGGCAACACAAAGAACTTACTCAGTATTCTTCTTTCTAGCGTTCTATGAAGAAATCCCGTTTCCAACGAAGGCCCCAAAGAGGTCCAAATATCTGCTTGCAGACTTTACAGACAGAGTGTTTCCAAACTACTCTATGAAAAGAAAGCTTAAACTCCTTGAGTTGAACGCACACATCACAAAGTAGTTTCTGAGAATGATTCTGTCTAGTTTTTATACGAAGATGTTTCCTTTTCTACATTTGGTCTCAAAGCGATTGAAATCTCCAACTGGAAACTGCACAAATAGGGTGTTTCAAATCTGCTCTGTCTAAAGGAAGGTTCAACTCTGTGAGTTGAATACACACACCACAAATAAGTTACTGAGAATTCTTCTGTCGAACATTACTTGAAGAAATCCCGTTTCCAACGAAGGCCTCAAAGAGGTCCAAATATCCACTTGCAGACGTTACAAACAGAGTGTTTCCAAACTGCTCCATCAAAAGAAAGGTTAAACTCTGTGAGCTGAACACACACATCAAAAAGAAGTTTCTGTGAATGATTCTGTCTAGACTTTAGAAGAAGATGTTTCCTTTTCTACCGTAGGCCTCAAAGCGCTTGAAATCTCCAGCTGCAAATTCCACAAAAAGGGTGTTTAACATCTGCTCTTCTAAAGGAAAGTTCAACTCCATGAGTTGAATACACACAGCACAAAGAAGTTACTGAGACTTCTCCTATCAAACATTATATGAAGAAATCCCGTTTCCAACGAAGGCCTCAAAGAGGTCCAAATATCTGCTTGCAGACTTTACAGACAGAGTGTTTCCAAACTGCTCCATCAAAAGAAAGGTTAAACTCCTTGAGTTGAACACACACATCACAAAGTAGTTTCTGTGAATGATTCTGTCTAGTTTTTATACGAAGATGTTTCCTTTTCTACCTTTGGTCTCAAAGCGATTGAAATCTCCACATGGAAACTCCACAAAAAGAGTGTTTCAAATCTGCTCTTTCTGAAGGAAGGTTCAACTCTGTGAGTTGAATACACACACCACAAATAAGTTACTGAGAATTCTTCTGTGTAACATTATATGAGGAAATCCCGTTTCCAACGAAGGCCTCAAAGAGGTCCCAATATCCACATGCAGACTTTACAAAGACAGTGTCTCCAAACTCCTCCATCAAAAGAAAGGTTATACTCTGTGAATTGAACGCACACATCACAAAGTAGTTTCTGAGAATGATTCTGTCTAGTTTTTATACGAAGATATTTCCTTTTCTACATTTGGCCTAAAAGCGCTTGAAATCTCCACGTGCAAATATCACAAAAAGAGGGTTTCACATCTGCTCTGTCTAAAGGACAGTTCACCTCTGTGAGTTGAATAGAGGCAACACAAAGAACTTACTCAGTATTCTTCTTTCTAGCATTCTATGAAGAAATCCCGTTTCCAACGAAGGCCACAAAGAGGTCCAAATATCTGCTTGCCGACTTTACAGACAGAGTGTTTCCAAACTACTCTATGAAAAGAAAGCTTAAACTCCTTGAGTTGAACGCACACATCACAAAGTAGTTTCTGAGAATGATTCTGTCTAGTTTTTATACGAAGATGTTTCCTTTTCTACATTTGGTCTCAAAGCGATTGAAATCTCCAACTGGAAACTGCACAAATAGGGTGTTTCAAATCTGCTCTGTCTAAAGGAATGTTCAACTCTGTGAGTTGAATACACACACCACAAATAAGTTACTGAGAATTCTTCTGTCGAACATTACTTGAAGAAATCCCGTTTCCAACGAAGGCCTCAAAGAGGTCCAAATATCCACTTGCAGACATTACAAACAGAGTGTTTCCAAACTGCTCCATCAAAAGAAAGGTTAAACTCTGTGAGCTGAACACACACATCGAAAAGAAGTTTCTGTGAATGATTCTGTCTAGATTTTATAAGAAGATGTTTCCTTTTCTACCGTAGGCCTCAAAGCGCTTGAAATCTCCAGCTGCAAATTCCACAAAAAGGGTGTTTAACATCTGCTCTTCTAAAGGAAAGTTCAACTCTATGAGTTGAATACACACAGCACAAAGAAGTTACTGAGACTTCTTCTGTCTAACATTATATGAAGAAATCCCGTTTCCAACGAAGGCCTCAAAGAGGTCCAAATATCTGCCTGCAGACTTTACAGACAGAGTGTTTCCAAACTGCTCCATCAAAAGAAAGGTTAAACTCCTTGAGTTGAACACACACATCACAAAGTAGTTTCTGTGAATGATTCTGTCTAGTTTTTATACGAAGATGTTTCCTTTTCTACCTTTGGTCTCAAAGCGATTGAAATCTCCACATGGAAACTCCACAAAAAGAGTGTTTCAAATCTGCTCTTTCTGAAGGAAGGTCCAACTCTGTGAGTTGAATACACACACCACAAATAAGTTACTGAGAATTCTTCTGTGTAACATTATATGAGGAAATCCCGTTTCCAACGAAGGCCTCAAAGAGGTCCAAATATCCACTTGCAGACTTTACAAAGACAGTGTCTCGAAACTCCTCCATCAAAAGAAAGGTTATACTCTGTGAATTGAACGCACACATCACAAAGTAGTTTCTGAGAATGATTCTGTCTAGTTTTTATACGAAGATATTTCCTTTTCTACATTTGGCCTAAAAGCGCTTGAAATCTCCACCTGCAAATATCACAAAAAGAGGGTTTCACATCTGCTCTGTCTAAAGGACAGTTCACCTCTGTGAGTTGAATAGAGGCAACACAAAGAACGTACTCAGTATTCTTCTTTCTAGCATTCTATGAAGAAATCCCGTTTCCAACGAAGGCCCCTAAGAGGTCCAAATATCTGCTTGCAGACTTTACAGACAGAGTGTTTCCAAACTACTCTATGAAAAGAAAGCTTAAACTCCTTGAGTTGAACGCACACATCACAAAGTAGTTTCTGAGAATGATTCTGTCTAGTTTTTATACGAAGATGTTTCCTTTTCTACATTTGGTCTCAAAGCGATTGAAATCTCCAACTGGAAACTGCACAAATAGGGTGTTTCAAATCTGCTCTGTCTAAAGGAAGGTTCAACTCTGTGAGTTGAATACACACACCACACATAAGTTACTGAGAATTCTCCTATCAAACATTATATGAAGAAATCCCGTTTCCAACGAAGGCCTCAAAGAGGTCCAAATATCCACTTGCAGACATTACAAACAGAGTGTTTCCAAACTGTTCCATCAAAAGAAAGATTAAACTCTGTGAGCTGAACACACACATGAAAAAGAAGTTTCTGTGAATGATTCTGTCTAGATTTTATACGAAGATGTTTCCTTTTCTACCTTTGGTCTCAATGCGATTGAAATCTCCACATGGAAACTCCACAAAAAGTGTGTTTGAAATCTGCTCTTTCTGAAGGAAGGTTCAACTCTGTGAGTTGAATAAACACACCACAAATAAGTTACTGAGAATTCTTCTGTGTGACATTATATGAGGAAATCCCATTTCCAACGAAGGCCTCAAAGAGGTCCAAATATCCACTTGCAGACTTTACAAAGACAGTGTCACCAAACTCCTCCCTCAAAAGAAAGGTTATACTCTGTGAATTGAACGCACACATCACAAAGTAGTTTCTGAGAATGATTCTGTCTACTTTTTTTACGAAGATATTTCCTTTTCTACATTTGGCCTAAAAGCGCTTGAAATCTCCACCTGCAAATATCACAAAAATAGGGTTTCACATCTGCTCTGTCTAAAGGACAGTTCACCTCTGTGAGTTGAATAGAGGCAACACAAAGAACTTACTCAGTATTCTTCTTTCTAGCGTTCTGTGAAGAAATCCCGTTTCCAACGAAGGCCCCAATGAGGTGCAAATATCTGCTTGCAGACTTTACAGACAGAGTGTTTCCAAACTACTCTATGAAAAGAAAGCTTAAACTCCTTGAGTTGAACGCACACATCACAAAGTAGTTTCTGAGAATGATTCTGTCTAGTTTTTATACGAAGATGTTTCCTTTTCTACATTTGGTCTCAAAGCGATTGAAATCTCCAACTGGAAACTGCACAAATAGGGTGTTTCAAATCTGCTCGGTCTAAAGGAAGGTTCAAATCTGTGAGTTGAATACACACACCACAAATAAGTTACTGAGAATTCTTCTGTCGAACATTACTTGAAGAAATCCCGTTTCCAACGAAGGCCTCAAAGAGGTCCAAATATCCACTTGCAGACATTACAAACAGAGTGTTTCCAAACTGCTCCATCAAAAGAAAGGTTAAACTCTGTGAGCTGAACACACACATCGAAAAGAAGTTTCTGTGAATGATTCTGTCTAGATTTTATAAGAAGATGTTTCCTTTTCTACCGTAGGCCTCAAAGCGCTTGAAATCTCCAGCTGCAAATTCCACAAAAAGGGTGTTTAACATCTGCTCTTCTAAAGGAAAGTTCAACTCTATGAGTTGAATACACACAGCACAAAGAAGTTACTGAGACTTCTCCTATCAAACATTATATGAAGAAATTCCGTTTCCAACGAAGGCCTCAAAGAGGTCCAAATATCTGCTTGCAGACTTTACAGACAGAGTGTTTCCAAACTGCTCCATCAAAAGAAAGGTTAAACTCCTTGAGTTGAACACACATATCACAAAGTAGTTTCTGTGAATGATTCTGTCTAGTTTGTATACGAAGATGTTTCCTTTTCTACCTTTGGTCTCAAAGCGATTGAAATCTCCACATGGAAACTCCACAAAAAGAGTGTTTCAAATCTGCTATTTCTGAAGGAAGGTTCAACTCTGTGAGTTGAATACACACACCACAAATATGTTACTGAGAATTCTTCTGTGTAACATTATATGAGGAAATCCCGTTTCCAACGAAGGCCTCAAAGAGGTCCAAATATCCACTTGCAGACTTTACAAAGACAGTGTCTCCAAACTCCTCCATCAAAAGAAAGGTTATACTCTGTGAATTGAACGCACACATCACAAAGTAGTTTCTGAGAATGATTCTGTCTAGTTTTTATACGAAGATATTTCCTTTTCTACATTTGGCCTAAAAGCACTTGAAATCTCCACCTGCAAATATCCCAAAAAGAGGGTTTCACATCTGCTCTGTCTAAAGGACAGTTCTCCTCTGTGAGTAGAATAGAGGCAACACAAAGAACTTAGTATTCTTCTTTCTACCGTTCTATGAAGAAATCCCGTTTCCAACGAAGGCCTCAAAGAGGTCCAAATATCTGCTTGCAGACTTTACAGACAGAGTGTTTCCAAACTACTCTATGAAAAGAAAGCTTAAACTCCTTGAGTTGAACGCACACATCACAAAGTAGTTTCTGAGAATGATTCTGTCTAGTTTTTATACGAAGATGTTTCCTTTTCTACATTTGGTCTCAAAGCAATTGAAATCTCCAACTGGAAACTGCACAAATAGGGAGTTTCAAATCTGATCTGTCTAAAGGAAGGGTCAACTCTGTGAGTTGAATACACACACCACAAATAAGTTACTGAGAATTCTTCTGTCTAACATTATATGAAGAAATCCCGTTTCCAACGAAGGCCTCAAAGAGGTCCAAATATCCACTTGCAGACTTGTCAAACGGAGTGTTTCCAAACTGCACCATCAAAAGAAAGGTTAAACTCTGTGAGCTGAAGACACACATCACAAAGTAGTTTCTGTGAATGATTCTGTCTAGATTTTATAAGAAGATGTTTCCTTTTCTACCGTAGGCCTCAAAGCGCTTGAAATCTCCAGCTGCAAATTACACAAAAAGGGTGTTTAACATCTGCTCTTCTAAAGGAAAGTTCAACTCTATGAGTTCAATACACACAGCACAAAGAAGTTACTGAGACTTCTCCTATCAAACATTATATGAAGAAATCCCGTTTCCAACGAAGGCCTCAAAGAGGTCCAAATATCTGCTTGCAGACTTTACAGACAGAGTGTTTCCAAACTGCTCCATCAAAAGAAAGGTTAAACTCCTTGAGTTGAACACACACATCACAAAGTAGTTTCTGTGAATGATTCTGTCTAGTTGTTATACGAAGATGTTTCCTTTTCTACCTTTGGTCTCAAAGCGATTGGAAATCTCCACATGGAAACTCCACAAAAAGAGTGTTTCAAATCTGCTCTTTCTGAAGGAAGGTTCATCTCTGTGAGTTGAATACACACACCACAAATAAGTTACTGAGAATTCTTCTGTGTAACATTATATGAGGAAATCCCGTTTCCAACGAAGGCCTCAAAGAGGTCCAAATATCCACTTGCAGACTTTACAAAGACAGTGTCTCCAAACTCCTCCATCAAAAGAAAGGTTATACTCTGTGAATTGAACGCACACATCACAAAGTAGTTTCTGAGAATGATTCTGTCTAGTTTTTATACGAAGATATTTCCTTTTCTACATTTGGCCTAAAAGCGCTTGAAATCTCCACCTGCAAATATCACAAAAAGAGGGTTTCACATCTGCTCTGTCTGAAGGACAGTTCACCTCTGTGAGTTGAATAGAGGCAACACAAAGAACTTACTCAGTATTCTTCTTTCTAGCGTTCTATGAAGAAATCCCGTTTCCAACGAAGGCCTCAAAGAGGTCAAATATCTGCTTGCAGACTTTACAGACAGAGTGTTTCCAAACTACTCTATGAAAAGAAAGCTTAAACTCCTTGAGTTGAACGCACACATCACAAAGTAGTTTCTGAGAATGATTCTGTCTTGTTTATATACGAAGATATTTCCGTTTCTACGATTGGCCTCAAAGCGATTGAAATCTCCAACTGGAAACTGCACAAATAGAGTGTTTCAAACCTGCTCTGTCTAAAGGAAGGTTCAACTCTGTGAGTTGAATACACACACCACAAATAAGTTACTGAGAATTCTTCTGTCGAACATTACAGGAAGAAATCCCGTTTCCAACGAAGGCCTCAAAGAGGTCCAAATATCCACTTGCAGACATTACAAACAGTGTGTTTCCCAACTGCTCCATCAAAAGAAAGGTTAAACTCTGTGAGCTGAACACACACATCAAAAAGAAGTTTCTGTGAATGATTCTGTCTAGATTTTATAAGAAGATGTTTCCTTTTCTACCGTAGGCCTCAAAGCGCTTGAAATCTCCAGCTGCAAATTCCACAAAAAGGGTGTTTAACATCTGCTCTTCTAAAGGAAAGTTCAACTCTATGAGTTGAATACACACAGCACAAAGAAGTTACTGAGACTTCTCCTATCAAACATTATATGAAGAAATACCGTTTCCAACGAAGGCCTCAAAGAGGTCCAAATATCTGCTTGCAGACATTACAGACAGAGTGTTTCCAAACTGCTCCATCAAAAGAAAGGTTAAACTCCTTGAGTTGAACACACACATCACAAAGTAGTTTCTGTGAATGATTCTGTCTAGTTTTTATACGAAGATGTTTCCTTTTCTACCTTTGGTCTCAATGCGATTGAAATCTCCACATGGAAACTCCACAAAAAGAGTGTTTCAAATCTGCTCTTTCTGAAGGAAGGTTCAACTCTGTGAGTTGAATACACACACCACAAATAAGTTACTGAGAATTCTTCTGTGTAACATTATATGAGGAAATCCCGTTTCCAACGAAGGCCTCAAAGAGGTCCAAATATCCACTTGCAGACTTTACAAAGACAGTGTCTCCAAACTCCTCCATCAAAAGAAAGGTTATACTCTGTGAATTGAACGCACACATCACAAAGTAGTTTCTGAGAATGATTCTGTCTAGTTTTTATACGAAGATATTTCCTTTTCTACATTTGGCCTAAAAGCGCTTGAAATCTCCACCTGCAAATATCACAAAAAGAGGGTTTCACATCTGCTCTGTCTAAAGGACAGTTCACCTCTGTGAGTTGAATAGAGGCAACACAAAGAACTTACTCAGTATTCTTCTTTCTAGCGTTCTATGAAGAAATCCCGTTTCCAACGAAGGCCTCAAAGAGGTCAAATATCTGCTTGCAGACTTTACAGACAGAGTGTTTCCAAACTACTCTATGAAAAGAAAGCTTAAACTCCTTGAGTTGAACGCACACATCACAAAGTAGTTTCTGAGAATGATTCTGTCTAGTTTTTATACGAAGATGTTTCCTTTTCTACATTTGGTCTCAAAGCTCTTGAAATCTCCAACTGGAAACTGCACAAATAGGCTGTTTTAAATCTGCTCTGTCTAAAGGAAGGTTCAACTCTGTGAGTTGAATACACACACCACAAATAAGTTACTGAGAATCCTCCTATCAAACATTATATGAAGAAATCCCGTTTCCAACGAAGGCCTCAAAGAGGTCCAAATATCCACTTGCAGACATTACAAACAGAGTGTTTCCAAACTGTTCCATCAAAAGAAAGATTAAACTCTGTGAGCTGAACACACACATGAAAAAGAAGTTTCTGTGAATGATTCTGTCTAGATTTTATAAGAAGATGTTTCCTTTTCTACCGTAGGCCTCAAAGCGCTTGAAATCTCCAGCTGCAAATTCCACAAAAAGGGTGTTTAACATCTGCTCTTCTAAAGGAAAGTTCAACTCTATGAGTTGAATACACACAGCACAAAGAAGTTACTGAGACTTCTCCTATCAAACATTATATGAAGAAATCCCGTTTCCAACGAAGGCCTCAAAGAGGTCCAAATATCTGCTTGCAGACTTTACAGACAGAGTGTTTCCAAACTGCTCCATCAAAAGAAAGGTTAAACTCCTTGAGTTGAACACACACATCACAAAGTAGTTTCTGTGAATGATTCTGTCTAGTTGTTATACGAAGATGTTTCCTTTTCTACCTTTGGTCTCAAAGCGATTGAAATCTCCACATGGAAACTCCAAAAAAAGAGTGTTTCAAATCTGCTCTTTCTGAAGGAAGGTTCATCTCTGTGAGTTGAATACACACACCACAAATAAGTTAGTGAGAATTCTTCTGTGTAACATCATATGAGGAAATCCCGTTTCCAACGAAGGCCTCAAAGAGGTCCAAATATCCACTTGCAGACTTTACAAAGACAGTGTCTCCAAACTCCTCCATCAAAAGAAAGGTTATACTCTGTGAATTGAACGCACACATCACAAAGTAGTTTCTGAGAATGATTCTGTCTAGTTTTTATACGAAGATATTTCCTTTTCTACATTTGGCCTAAAAGCGCTTGAAATCTCCACCTGCAAATATCACAAAAAGAGGGTTTCACATCTGCTCTGTCTAAAGGACAGTTCACCTCTGTGAGTTGAATAGAGGCAACACAAAGAACTTACTCAGTATTCTTCTTTCTAGCGTTCTATGAAGAAATCCCGTTTCCAACGAAGGCCCCAAAGAGGTCCAAATATCTGCTTGCAGACTTTACAGACAGAGTGTTTCCAAACTACTCTATGAAAAGAAAGCTTAAACTCCTTGAGTTGAACGCACACATTACAAAGTAGTTTCTGAGAATGATTCTGTCTAGTTTTTATACGAAGATGTTTCCTTTTCTACATTTGGTCTCAAAGCGATTGAAATCTCCAACTGGAAACTGCACAAATAGGGTGTTTCAAATCTGCTCTGTCTAAAGGAAGGTTCAACTCTGTGAGTTGAATACACACACCACAAATAAGTTACTGAGAATTCTTCTGTCGAACATTACTTGAAGAAATCCCGTTTCCAAGGAAGACCTCAAAGAGGTCCAAATATCCACTTGCAGATATTACAAGCAGAGTGTTTCCAAACTGCTCCATCAAAAGAAAAGTTAAACTCGGTGAGCTGAACACACACATCAAAAAGAAGTTTCTGTGAATGATTCTGTCTAGATTTTATAAGAAGATGTTTCCTTTTCTACTGTAGTCCTCAAAGCGCTTGAAATCTCCAACTGCAAATTCCACAAAAAGGGTGTTTAAGATCTGCTCTTCTAAAGGAAATTTCAACTCTATGAGTTGAATACACACAGCACAAAGAAGTTACTGAGACTTCTCCTATCAAACATTATATGAAGAAATCCCGTTTCCAACGAAGGCCTCAAAGAGGTCCAAACATCTGCTTGCAGACTTTACAGACAGAGTGTTTCCAAACTGCTCCATCAAAAGAAAGGTTAAACTCCTTGAGTTGAACACACACATCACAAAGTAGTTTCTGTGAATGATTCTGTCTAGTTTATATACGAAGATGTTTCCTTTTCTACCTTTGGTCTCAATGCGATTGAAATCTCCACATGGAAACTCCACAAAAAGAGTGTTTCAAATCTGCTCTTTCTGAAGGAAGGTTCAACTCTGTGAGTTGAATACACACACCACAAATAAGTTACTGAGAATTCTTCTGTGTAACATTATATGAGGAAATCCCGTTTCCAACGAAGGCCTCAAAGAGGTCCATATATCCACTTGCAGACTTTACAAAGACAGGGTCTCCAAACTCCTCCATCAAAAGAAAGGTTATACTCTGTGAATTGAACGCACACATCACAAAGTAGTTTCTGAGAATGATTCTGTCTAGTTTTTATACGAAGATATTTCCTTTTCTACATTTGGCCTAAAAGCGCTTGAAATCTCCACCTGCAAATATCACAAAAAGAGGGTTTCACATCTGCTCTGTCTAAAGGACAGTTCACCTCTGTGAGTTGAATAGAGGCAACACAAAGAACTTACTCAGTATTCTTCTTTCTAGCATTCTATGAAGAAATCCCATTTCCAACGAAGGCCCCAAAGAGGTCCAAATATCTGCTTGCAGATTTTACAGACAGAGTTTTTCCAAACTGCTCCATCAAAAGAAAGGTTAAACTCCTTGAGTTGAACACACACATCACAAAGTAGTTTCTGTGAATGATTCTGTCTTGTTTTTATACGAAGATGTTTCCTTTTCTACCTTTGGTCTCAAAGCGATTGAAATCTCCACATGGAAACTCCACAAAAAGAGTGTTTCAAATCTGCTCTTTCTGAAGGAAGGTTCATCTCTGTGAGTTGAATACACACACCACAAATAAGTTACTGAGAATTCTTCTGTCGAACATTACAGGAAGAAATCCCGTTTCCAACGAAGGCCTCAAAGAGGTCCAAATATCCACTTGCAGACATTACAAACAGTGTGTTTCCCAACTGCTCCATCAAAAGAAAGGTTAAACTCTGTGAGCTGAACACACACATCAAAAAGAAGTTTCTGTGAATGATTCTGTCTAGATTTTATAAGAAGATGTTTCCTTTTCTACCGTAGGCCTCAAAGCGCTTGAAATCTCCAGCTGCAAATTCCACAAAAAGGGTGTTTAACATCTGCTCTTCTAAAGGAAAGTTCAACTCTATGAGTTGAATACACACAGCACAAAGAAGTTACTGAGACTTCTCCTATCAAACATTATATGAAGAAATCCCGTTTCCAACGAAGGCCTCAAAGAGGTCCAAATATCTGCTTGCAGACTTTACAGACAGAGTTTTTCCAAACTGCTCCATCAAAAGAAAGGTTAAACTCCTTGAGTTGAACACACACATCACAAAGTAGTTTCTGTGAATGATTCTGTCTAGTTTTTATACGAAGATGTTTCCTTTTCTACCTTTGGTCTCAAAGCGATTGAAATCTCCACATGGAAACTCCACAAAAAGAGTGTTTCAAATCTGCTCTTTCTGAAGGAAGGTTCATCTCTGTGAGTTGAATACACACACCACAAATAAGTTACTGAGAATTCTTCTGTGTAACATTATATGAGGAAATCCCGTTTCCAACGAAGGCCTCAAAGAGGTCCAAATGTCCACTTGCAGACTTTACAAAGACAGTGTCTCCAAACTCCTCCATCAAAAGAAAGGTTATACTCTGTGAATTGAGCACACATCACAATGTAGTTTCTGAGAATGATTCTGTCTAGTTTTTATACGAAGATATTTCCTTTTCTACATTTGGCCAAAAAGCGCTTGAAATCTCCACCTGCAAATATCACAAAAAGAGGGTTTCACATCTGCTCTGTCTAAAGGACAGTTCACCTCTGTGAGTTGAATAGATTCAACACAAAGAAGTTACTGAGTATTCTTCTTTCTAGCGTTCTATGAAGAAATCCCGTTTCCAACGAAGGCCTCAAAGAGGTCCAAATATCTGCTTGCAGACTTTACAGACAGAGTGTTTCCAAACTGCTCCATCAAAAGAAAGGTTAAACTCCTTGAGTTGAACACACACATCACAAAGTAGTTTCTGTGAATGATTCTGTCTAGTTTTTATACGAAGATGTTTCCTTTTCTACCTTTGGTCTCAAAGCGATTGAAATCTCCACATGGAAACTCCACAAAAAGAGTGTTTCAAATCTGCTCTTTCGGAAGGAAGGTTCAACTCTGTGAGTTGAATACACACACCACAAATATGTTACTGAGAATTCTTCTGTGTAACATTATAGGAGGAAATCCCGTTTCCAACGAAGGCCTCAAAGAGGTCCAAATATCCACTTGCAGACGTGACAAACAGAGTGTTTCCAAACTGCTCCATCCAAAGAAAGGTTAAACTCTGTGAGTTGAACACACACATCACAAAGTAGTGTCTGTGAATGATTCTGTCTAGTTTTTATACGAAGATGTTTCCTTTTCTACCTTTGGTCTCAAAGCGATTGAAATCTCCACATGGAAACTCCACAAAAAGAGTGTTTCAAATCTGCTCTTTCTGAAGGAAGGTTCAACTCTGTGAGTTGAATACACACACCACAAATAAGTTACTGAGAATTCTTCTGGGTAACATTATATGAGGAAATCCCGTTTCCAACGAAGGCCTCAAAGAGGTCCAAATATCCACTTGCAGACTTTACAAAGACAGTGTCTCCAAACTCCTCCATCAAAAGAAAGGTTATACTCTGTGAATTGAACGCACACATCACAAAGTAGTTTCTGAGAATGATTCTGTCTAGTTTTTATACGAAGATATTTCCTTTTCTACATTTGGCCTAAAAGCGCTTGAAATCTCCACCTGGAAATATCACAAAAAGAGGGTTTCACATCTGCTCTGTCTAAAGGACAGTTCACCTCTGTGAGTTGAATAGAGGCAACACAAAGAACTTACTCAGTATTCTTCTTTCTAGCGTTCTATGAAGAAATCCCGTTTCCAACGAAGGCCCCAAAGAGGTCCAAATATCTGCTTGCAGACTTTACAGACAGAGTGTTTCCAAACTACTCTATGAAAAGAAAGCTTAAACTCCTTGAGTTGAACGCACACATCACAAAGTAGTTTCTGAGAATGATTCTGTCTAGTTTTTATACGAAGATGTTTCCTTTTCTCCATTTGGTCTCAAAGCGATTGAAATCTCCAACTGGAAACTGCACAAATAGGCTGTTTCAAATCTGCTCTGTCTAAAGGAAGGTTCAACTCTGTGAGTTGAATACACACACCACAAATAAGTTACTGAGAATTCTTCTGTCGAACATTACTTGAAGAAATCCCGTTTCCAACGAAGGCCTCAAAGAGGTCGAAATATCGACTTGCAGACATTACAAACAGAGTGTTTCCAAACTGCTCCATCAAAAGAAAGGTTAAACTCTGTGAGCTGAACACACACATCAAAAAGAAGTTTCTGTGAATGATTCTGTCTAGATTTTATAAGAAGATGTTTCCTTTTCTACCGTAGGCCTCAAAGGGCTTGAAATCTCCAGCTGCAAATTCCACAAAAAGGGTGTTTAACATCTGCTCTTCTAAAGGAAAGTTCAACTCTATGAGTTGAATACACACAGCACAAAGAAGTTACTGAGACTTCTCCTATCTAACATTATATGAAGAAATCCCGTTTCCAACGAAGGCCTCAAAGAGGTCCAAATATCTGCTTGCAGACTTTACAGACAGAGTGTTTCCAAACTGCTCCATCAAAAGAAAGGTTAAACTCCTTGAGTTGAACACACACATCACAAAGTACTTTCTGTGAATGATTCTGTCTAGTTTTTATACGAAGATGTTTCCTTTTCTACCTTTGGTCTCAAAGCGATTGAAATCTCCACATGGAAACTCCACAAAAAGAGTGTTTCAAATCTGCTCTTTCTGAAGGAAGGTTCAACTCTGTGAGTTGAATACACACACCACAAATAAGTTACTGAGAATTCTTCTGTGTAACATTATATGAGGAAATCCCGTTTCCAACGAAGGCCTCAAAGAGGTCCAAATATCCACTTGCAGACTTTACAAAGACAGTGTCTCCCAACTCCTCCATCAAAAGAAAGGTTATACTCTGTGAATTGAACGCACACATCACAAAGTAGTTTCTGAGAATGATTCTGTCTAGTTTTTATACGAAGATATTTCCTTTTCTACATTTGGCCTAAAAGCGCTTGAAATCTCCACCTGCAAATATCACAAAAAGAGGGTTTCACATCTGCTCTGTCTAAAGGACAGTTCACCTCTGTGAGTTGAATAGAGGCAACACAAAGAACTTACTCAGTATTCTTCTTTCTAGCATTCTATGAACAAATCCCGTTTCCAACGAAGACCCCAAAGAGGTCCAAATATCTGCTTGCAGACTTTACAGACAGAGTTTTTCCAAACTACTCTATGAAAAGAAAGCTTAAACTCCTTGAGTTGAACGCACACATCACAAAGTAGTTTCTGAGAATGATTCTGTCTAGTTTTTATACGAAGATGTTTCCTTTTCTACATTTGGTCTCAAAGCGATTGAAATCTCCAACTGGAAACTGCACAAATAGGGTGTTTCAAATCTGCTCTCTCTAAAGGAAGGTTCAACTCTGTGAGTTGAATACACACACCACAAATAAGTTACTGAGAATCCTTCTGTCGAACATTACAGGAAGAAATCCCGTTTCCAACGAAGGCCTCAAAGAGGTCCAAATATCCACTTGCAGACATTACAAACAGAGTGTTTCCAAACTGCTCCATCAAAAGAAAGGTTAAACTCTGTGAGCTGAACACACACATCAAAAAGAAGTTTCTGTGAATGATTCTGTCAAGATTTTATAAGATGTTTCCTTTTCTACCGTAGGACTCAAAGCGCTTGAAATCTCCAGCTGCAAATTCCACAAAAAGGGTGTTTAACATCTGCTCTTCTAAAGGAAAGTTCAACTCTATGAGTTGAATACACACAGCACAAGGAAGTTACTGAGACTTCTCGTATCAAACATTATATGAAGAAATCCCGTTTCCAACGAAGGCCTAAAAGAGGTCCAAATATCTGCTTGCAGACTTTACAGACAGAGTCTTTCCAAACTGCTCCATCAAAAGAAAGCTTAAACTCCTTGAGTTGAACACACACATCACAAAGTAGTTTCTGAGAATGATTCTGTCTATTTTTTATACGAAGATGTTTCCTTTTCTACATTTGGTCTCAAAGCGATTGAAATCTCCAACTGGAAACTGCACAAATAGGGTGTTTCAAATCTGCTCTGTCTAAAGGAAGGTTCAACTCTGTGAGTTGAATACACACACCACAAATAAGTTACTGAGAATTCTTCTGTGTAACATTATATGAGGAAATCCCGTTTCCAACGAAGGCCTCAAAGAGGTGCAAATATCCACTTGCAGACTTTACAAAGACAGTGTCTCCAAACTCCTCCATCAAAAGAAAGGTTATACTCTGTGAATTGAACGCACACATCACAAAGTAGTTTCTGAGAATGATTCTGTCTAGTTTTTATACGAAGATATTTCCTTTTCTACATTTGGCCTAAAAGCGCTTGAAATCTCCACCTGCAAATATCACAAAAAGAGGGTTTCACATCTGCTCTGTCTAAAGGACAGTTCACCTCTGTGAGTTGAATAGAGGCAACACCAAGAACTTACTCAGTATTCTTCTTTCTGGCGTTCTATGAAGAAATCCCGTTTCCAACGAAGGCCCCAAAGAGGTCCAAATATCTGCCTGCAGACTTTACAGACAGAATGTTTCCAAACTACTCTATGAAAAGAAAGCTTAAACTCCTTGAGTTGAACGCACACATCACAAAGTAGTTTCTGAGAATGATTCTGTCTTGTTTTTATACGAAGATATTTCCGTTTCTACGATTGGCCTCAAAGCGATTGAAATCTCCAACTGGAAACTGCACAAATAGGGTGTTTCAAATCTGCTCTGTCTAAAGGAAGGTTCAACTCTGTGAGTTGAATACACACACCACAAATAAGTTACTGAGAATTCTTCTGTCGAACATTACATGAAGAAATCCCGTTTCCAACGAACGCCTCAAAGAGGTCCAAATATCCACTTGCAGACACTACAAACAGTGTGTTTCCAAACTGCTCCATCAAAACAAAGGTTAAACTCTGTGAGCTGAACACACACATCAAAAAGAAGTTTCTGTGAATGATTGTGTCTAGATTTTATAAGAAGATGTTTCCTTTTCTACCGTATGCCTCAAAGCGCTTGAAATCTCCAGCTGCAAATTCCACAAAAAGGGTGTTTAACATCTGCTCTTCTAAAGGAAAGTTCAACTCTATGAGTTGAATACACACAGCACAAAGAAGTTACTGAGACTTCTCCTATCAAACATTATATGAAGAAATCCCGTTTCCAACGAAGGCCTCAAAGAGGTCCAAATATCTGCTTGCAGACTTTACAGACAGAGTGTTTCCAAACTGCTCCATCAAAAGAAAGGTTAAACTCCTTGAGTTGAACACACACATCACAAAGTAGTTTCTGTGAATGATTCTGTCTAGTTTTTATACGAAGATGTTTCCTTTTCTACCTTTGGTCTCAAAGCGATTGAAATCTCCACATGGAAACTCCACAAAAAGAGTGTTTCAAATCTGCTCTTTCTGAAGGAAGGTTCAACTCTGTGAGTTGAATACACACACCACAAATAAGTTACTGAGAATTCTTCTGTGTAACATTATATGAGGAAAACCCGTTTCCAACGAAGGCATCAAAGAGGTCCAAATATCCACTTGCAGACTTTACAAAGACAGTGTCTCCAAACTCCTCCATCAAAAGAAAGGTTATACTCTGTGAATTGAACGCACACATCACAAAGTAGTTTCTGAGAATGATTCTGTCTAGTTTTTATACGAAGATATTTCCTTTTCTACATTTGGCCTAAAAGCGCTTGAAATCTCCACGTGCAAATATCACAAAAAGAGGGTTTCACATCTGCTCTGTCTAAAGGACAGTTCACCTCTGTGAGTTGAATAGAGGCAACACAAAGAACTTACTCAGTATTCTTCTTTCTAGCGTTCTATGAAGAAATCCCGTTTCCAACGAAGGCCCCAAAGAGGTCCAAATATCTGCTTGCAGACTTTACAGACAGAGTGTTTCCAAACTACTCTATGAAAAGAAAGCTTAAACTCCTTGAGTTGAACGCACACATCACAAAGTAGTTTCTGAGAATGATTCTGTCTAGTTTTTATACGAAGATATTTCCGTTTCTACGATTGGCCTCAAAGCGATTGAAATCTCCAACTGGAAACTGCACAAATAGGGTGTTTCAAATCTGCTCTGTCTAAAGGAAGGTTCAACTCTGTGAGTTGAATACACACACCACAAATAAGTTACTGAGAATTCTTCTCTCGAACATTACATGAAGAAATCCCGTTTCCAACGAAGGCCTCAAAGAGGTCCAAATATCTGCTTGCAGACTTTACAGACAGAGTGTTTCCAAACTACTCTATGAAAAGAAAGCTTAAACTCCGTGAGTTGAACGCACACATCACAAAGTAGTTTCTGAGAATGATTCTGTCTAGATTTTATAAGAAGATGTTTCCTTTTCTACCGTAGGCCTCAAAGCGCTTGAAATCTCCAGCTGCAAATTCCACAAAAAGGGTGTTTAACATCTGCTCTTCTAAAGGAAAGTTCAACTCTATGAGTTGAATACACACAGCACAAAGAAGTTACTGAGACTTCTTCTTTCTAGCATTCTATGAAGAAATCCCATTTCCAACGAAGGCCCCAAAGAGGTCCAAATATCTGCCTGCAGACTTTACACACAGAGTTTTTCCAAACTGCTCCATCAAAAGAAAGGTTAAACTCCTTGAGTTGAACACACACATCACAAAGTAGTTTCTGTGAATGATTCTGTCAAGTTTTTATACGAAGATGTTTCCTTTTCTACCTTTGGTCTCAAAGCGATTGAAATCTCCACATGGAAACTCCACAAAAAGAGTGTTTCAAATCTGCTCTTTCTGAAGGAAGGTTCAACTCTGTGAGTTGAATACACACACCACAAATAAGTTACTGAGAATTCTTCTGTGTAACATTATATGAGGAAATCCCGTTTCCAACGAAGGCCTCAAAGAGGTCCAAATATCCACTTGCAGACTTTACAAAGACAGTGTCTCCAAACTCCTCCATCAAAAGAAAGGTTATACTCTGTGAATTGAACACACACATCACAAAGTAGTTTCTGAGAATGATTCTGTCTAGTTTTTATATGAAGATATTTCCTTTTCTACATTTGGCCTAAAAGCGCTTGAAATCTCCACCTGCAAATATCACAAAAAGAGGGTTTCCCATCTGCTCTGTCTAAAGGACAGTTCACCTCTGTGGGTTGAATAGAGGCAACACAAAGAAGTTACTGAGTATTATTCTTTCTAGCGTTATAAGAAGAAATCCCGTTTCCAACGAAGGCCTCAAAGAGGTCCAAATATCCACTTGCAGACGTGAAAAACAGAGTGTTTCCAAACTGCTCCATCAAAAGAAAGGTTAAACTCTGTGAGTTGAACACACACATCACAAAGTAGTTTCTGTGAATGATTCTGTCTAGTTTTTATACGAAGATGTTTCCTTTTCTACCTTTGGTCTCAAAGCGATTGAAATCTCCACATGGAAACTCCACAAAAAGAGTGTTTGAAATCTGCTCTTTCTGAAGGAAGGTTCAACTCTGTGAGTTGAATAAACACACCACAAATAAGTTACTGAGAATTCTCCTATCAAACATTATATGAAGAAATCCCGTTTCCAACGAAGGCCTCAAAGAGGTCCAAATATCCACTTGCAGACGTGACAAACAGAGTGTTTCCAAACTGCTCCATCAAAAGAAAGGTTAAACTCTGTGAGTTGAAAACACACATCTCAAAGTAGTTTCTGTGAATGATTCTGTCTAGTTTTTATAAGAAGATGTTTCCTTTTCTACCTTTGGTCTCAAAGCGATTGAAATCTCCACATGGAAACTCCTCAAAAAGAGTGTTTCAAATCTGCTCTTTCTGAAGGAAGGTTCAACTCTGTGAGTTGAATACACACACCACAAATAAGTTACTGAGAATTCTTCTGTGTAACATTATATGAGGAAATCCCGTTTCCAACGAAGGCCTCAAAGAGGTCCAAATATCCACTTGCAGACTTTACAAAGACAGTGTCTCCAAACTCCTCCATCAAAAGAAAGGTTATACTCTGTGATTTGAACGCACACATCACAAAGTAGTTTCTGAGAATGATATTCTGTCTAGTTTTTATACGAAGATATTTCCTTTTCTACATTTGGCCTAAAAGCGCTTGAAATCTCCACCTGCAAATATCACAAAAAGAGGGTTTCACATCTGCTCTGTCTAAAGGACAGTTCAGAAGATGGCCGAATAGGAACAGCTCCGGTCTACAGCTCCCAGCGTGAGCGACGCAGAAGACGGGTGATTTCTGCATTTCCATCTGAGGTACCGGGTTCATCTCAATAGGGAGTGCCAGACAGTGGGCGCAGGCC
>NC_000012.12:34835295-34849901 GCF_000001405.40 Homo sapiens | reverse complement strand
TCTCTCTAGATTTTATAAGAAGATGTTTCCTTTTCTACCGTAGGCCTCAAAGCGCTTGAAATCTCCAGCTGCAAATTCCACAAAAAGTGTGTTTAACATCTGCTCTTCTAAAGGAAAGTTCAACTCTATGAGTTGAATACACACAGCACAAAGAAGTTACTGAGACTTCTCCTATCAAACATTATATGAAGAAATCCCATTTCCAAAGAAGGCCTCAAAGAGGTCCAAATATCTGCTTGCAGACTTTACAGACAGAGTGTTTCCAAACTGCTCCATCAAAAGAAAGGTTAAACTCCTTGAGTTGAACACACACATCACAAAGTAGTTTCTGTGAATGATTCTGTCTAGTTTTTATACGAAGATGTTTCCTTTTCTACCTTTGGTCTCAATGCGATTGAAATCTCCACATGGAAACTCCACAAAAAGAGTGTTTCAAATCTGCTCTTTCTGAGGGAAGGTTCAACTCTGTGAGTTGAATACACACACCACAAATAAGTTACTGAGAATTCTCCTATCAAACATTATATGAAGAAACCCCGTTTCCAACGAAGGCCTCAAAGAGGTCCAAATATCTGCTTGCAGACTTTACAAAGACAGTGTCTCCAAACTCCTCCATCAAAAGAAAGGTTATACTCTGTGAATTGAACGCACACATCACAAAGTAGTTTCTGAGAATGATTCTGTCTAGTTTTTATACGAAGATATTTCCTTTTCTACATTTGGCCTAAAAGCGCTTGAAGTCTCCACCTGCAAATATCACAAAAAGAGGGTTTCACATCTGCTCTGTCTAAAGGACAGTTCACCTTTGTGAGTTGAATAGAGGCAACACAAAGAACTTACTCAGTATTCTTCTTTCTAGCGTTCTATGAAGAAATCCCGTTTCCAACGAAGGCCCCAAAGAGGTCCAAATATCTGCTGGCAGACTTTACAGACAGAGTGTTTCCAAACTACTCTATGAAAAGAAAGCTTAAACTCCTTGAGTTGAACGCACACATCACAAAGTAGTTTCTGAGAATGATTCTGTCTAGTTTTTATACGAAGATGTTTCCTTTTCTACATTTGGTCTCAAAGCGATTGAAATCTCCAACTGGAAACTGCACAAATAGGGTGTTTCAAATCTGCTCTGTCTAAAGGAAGGTTCAACTCTTTGAGTTGAATACACACACCACAAATAAGTTACTGAGAATTCTTCTGTCGAACATTACAGGAAGAAATCCCGTTTCCAGCGAAGGCCTCAAAGAGGTCCAAATATCCACTTGCAGACATTACAAACAGAGTGTTTCCAAACTGCTCCATCAAAAGAAAGGTTAAACTCTGTGAGCTGAACACACACATCAAAAAGAAGTTTCTGTGAATGATTCTGTCTAGATTTTATAAGATGTTTCCTTTTCTACCGTAGGCCTCGAAGCGCTTGAAATCTCCAGCTGCAAATTCCACAAAAGGGGTGTTTAACATCTGCTCTTCTAAAGGAAAGTTCAACTCTATGAGTTGAATACACACAGCACAAAGAAGTTACTGAGACTTCTCCTATCAAACATAATATGAAGAAATCCCGTTTCCAACGAAGGCCTCAAAGAGGTCCAAATATCTGCTTGCAGACTTTACTGACAGAGTGTTTGCAAACTACTCTATGAAAACAAAGCTTAAACTCCTTGAGTTGAACGCACACATCACAAAGTAGTTTCTGAGAATGATTCTGTCTAGTTTTTATACGAAGATATTTCCGTTTCTATGATTGGCCTCAAAGCAATTGAAATCTCCAACTGGAAACTGCACAAATAGGGTGTTTCAAATCTGCTCTGTCTAAAGGAAAGTTCAACTCTTTGAGTTGAATAGAGGCAACACAAAGAACTTACTCAGTATTCTTCTGTGTAACATTATATGAGGAAATCCCATTTCCAACGAAGGCCTCAAAGAGGTCCCAATATCCACATGCAGACTTTACAAAGACAGTGTCTCCAAACTCCTCCATCAAAAGAAAGGTTATACTCTGTGAATTGAACGCACACATCACAAAGTAGTTTCTGAGAATGATTCTGTCTAGTTTTTATACGAAGATATTTCCTTTTCTACATTTGGCCTAAAAGCGCTTGAAATCTCCACCTGCAAATATCACAAAAAGAGTGTTTCACATCTCCTCTGTCTAAAGGACAGTTCACCTCTGTGAGTTGAATAGAGGCAACACAAAGAACTTACTCAGTATTCTTCTTTCTAGCGTTATATGAAGAAATCCCGTTTCCAATGAAGGCCTCAAAGAGGTCCAAATATCTGCTTGCAGACTTTACAGACAGAGTGTTTCCAAACGACTCTATGAAAAGAAAGCTTAAACTCCTTGAGTTGAACGCACACATCACAAAGTAGTTTCTGAGAATGATTCTGTCTAGTTTTTATACGAAGATGTTTCCTTTTCTACATTTGGTCTCAAAGCGATTGAAATCTCCAACTGGAAACTGCACAAATAGGGTGTTTCAAATCTGCTCTGTCTAAAGGAAGGTTCAACTCTGGGAGTTGAATACACACACCACAAATAAGTTACTGAGAATTCTTCTGTCGAACATTACAGGAAGAAATCCCGTTTCCAACGAAGGCCTCAAAGAGGTCCAAATATGCACTTGCAGACATTACAAACAGAGTGTTTCCAAACTGCTCCATCAAAAGAAAGGTTAAACTCTGTGAGCTGAACACACACATCAAAAAGAAGTTTCTGTGAATGATTCTGTTTAGATTTTATAAGAAGATGTTTCCTTTTCTACCGTAGGCCTCAAAGCGCTTGAAATCTCCAGCTGCAAATTCCACAAAAAGGGTGTTTAACATCAGCTCTTCTAAAGGAAAGTTCAACTCTATGAGTTGAATACACACAGCACAAAGAAGTTACTGAGACTTCTCCTATCAAACATTATATGAAGAAATCCCGTTTCCAACGAAGGCCTCAAAGAGGTCCAAATATCTGCTTGCCGACTTTACAGACAGAGTGTTTTTAAACTGCTCCATCAAAAGAAAGGTTAAACTCCTTGAGTTGAACACACACATCACAAAGTAGTTTCTGTGAATGATTCTGTCTAGTTTTTATACGAAGATGTTTCCTTTTCTACCTTTGGTCTCATAGCGATTGAAATCTCCACATGGAAACTCCACAAAAAGAGTGTTTCAAATCTGCTCTTTCTGAAGGAAGGTTCAACTCTGTGAGTTGAATACACACACCACAAATAAGTTACTGAGAATTCTTCTGGGTAACATTATATGAGGAAATCCCGTTTCCAACGAAGGCCTCAAAGAGGTCCAAATATCCACTTGCAGACTTTACAAAGACAGTGTCTCCAAACTCCTCCATCAAAAGAAAGGTTATACTCTGTGAATTGAACGCACACATCACAAAGTAGTTTCTGAGAATGATTCTGTCTAGTTTTTATACGAAGATATTTCCTTTTCTACATTTGGCCTAAAAGCGCTTGAAATCTCCACCTGCAAATATCACAAAAAGAGGGTTTCACATCTGCTCTGTCTAAAGGACAGTTCACCTCTGTGAGTTGAGTAGAGGCAACACAAAGAACTTACTCAGTATTCTTCTTTCCAGCGTTCTATGAAGAAATCACGTTTGCAACGAAGGCCCCAGTGAGGTCCAAATATCTGCTTGCAGACTTTACAGACAGAGTGTTTCCAAACTACTCTATGAAAAGAAAGCTTAAACTCCTTGAGTTGAACGCACACATCACAAAGTAGTTTCTGAGAATGATTCTGTCTAGTTTTTATACGAAGATGTTTCCTTTTCTACATTTGGTCTCAAAGCGATTGAAATCTCCAACTGGAAACTGCACAAATAGGGTGTTTCAAATCTGCTCTGTCTAAAGGAAGGTTCAACTCTTTGAGTTGAATACACACACCACAAATAAGTTACTGAGAATTCTTCTGTCGAACATTACATGAAGAAATCCGATTTCCAACGAAGGCCTCAAAGAGGTCCAAATATCCACTTGCAGACATTACAAACAGAGTGTTTCCAAACTGCTCCATCAAAAGAAAGGTTAAACTCTGTGAGCTGAACACACACATCACAAAGAAGTTTCTGTGAATGATTCTGTCTAGTTTTTATACGAAGATGTTTCCTTTTCTACGTTTGGTCTCAAAGCGATTGATATCTCCACATGGAAACTCCACAAAAAGCGTGTTTCAAATCTGCTCTTTCTGAAGGAAGGTTCAACTCTGTGAGTTGAATAAACACACCACAAATAAGTTACTGAGAATTCTTCTATCAAACATTATATGAAGAAATCCCGTTTCCAACGAAGGCCTCAAAGAGGTCCAAATATCTGCTTGCAGACTTTACAGACAGTGTGTTTCCAAACTGCTCCATCAAAAGAAAGGTTAAACTCCTTGAGTTGAACACACACATCACAAAGTAGTTTCTGTGAATGATTCTGTCTAGTTTTTATACGAAGATGTTTGCTTTTCTACCTTTGGTCTCAAAGCGATTGAAATCTCCACATGGAAACTCCACAAAAAGAGTGTTTCAAATCTGCTCTTTCTGAAGGAAGGTTCAACTCTGTGAGTTGAATACACACACCACAAATAAGTTACTGAGAATTCTTCTGTGTAACATTATAGGAGGAAATCCCGTTTCCAACGAAGGCCTCAAAGAGGTCCAAATATCCACTTGCAGACTTTACAAAGACAGTGTCTCCAAACCCCTCCATCAAAAGAAAGGTTATCCTATGTGAATTGAACGCACACATCACAAAGTAGTTTGCTGAGAATGATTCTGTCTAGTTTTTATACGAAGATATTTCCTTTTATACATTTGGCCTAAAAGCGCTTGAAATCTCCACCTGCAAATATCACAAAAAGAGGGTTTCACATCTGCTCTGTCTAAAGGACAGTTCACCTCTGTGAGTTGAATAGAGGCAACACAAAGAACTTACTCAGTATTCTTCTTTCTAGCATTCTATGAAGAAATCCCGTTTCCAACGAAGGCCTCAAAGAGGTCCAAATATCTGCTTGCAGACTTTACAGACAGAGTTTTTCCAAACTGCTCCATCAAAAGAAAGGTTAAACTCCTTGAGTTGAACACACACATCACAAAGTAGTTTCTGTGAATGATTCTGTCTAGTTTTTATACGAAGATGTTTCCTTTTCTACCTTTGGTCTCAAAGCCATTGAAATCTCCCCATGGAAACTCCACAAAAAGAGTGTTTCAAATCTGCTCTTTCTGAAGGAAGGTTCAACTTTGTGAGTTGAATACACACACCACAAGTAAGTTACTGAGAATTCTTCTGTGTAACATTATATGAGGAAATCCCGTTTCCAACGAAGGCCTCAAAGAGGTCCAAATATCCACTTGCAGACTTTACAAAGACAGTGTCTCCAAACTCCTCCATCAAAAGAAAGGTTATACTCTGTGAATTGAACGCACACATCACAAAGTAGTTTGTGAGAATGATTCTGTCTAGTTTTTATACGAAGATATTTCCTTTTCTACATTTGGCCTAAAAGCGCTTGAAATCTCCACGTGCAAATATCACAAAAAGAGGGTTTCACATCTGCTCTGTCTAAAGGACAGTTCACCTCTGTGAATTGAATAGAGGCAACACATAGAACTTACTCAGTATTCTTCTTTCTAGCGTTATATGAAGAAATCCCGTTTCCAACGAAGGCCTCAAAGAGGTCCAAATATCTGCTTGCAGACTTTACAGACAGAGTGTTTCCAAACTACTCTATGAAAAGAAAGCTTAAACTCCTTCAGTTGAACGCACACATCACAAAGTAGTTTCTGAGAATGATTCTGTCTAGATTTTATAAGAAAATATTTCCTTTTCTACCATAGGCCTCAAAGCGCTAGAAATCTCCAGCTCCAAATTCCACAAAAAAGTGTGTTTAACATCTGCTCTGTCTAAAGTAAAGTTCAGCTCTGTGAGTTGAATACACACAACACAAAGAAGTTACTGAGACTTCTTCTGTCTAACATTATATGAAGAAATCCCGTTTCCAACGAAGGCCTCAAAGAGGTCCAAATATCCACTTGCAGACTTGTCAAACAGAGTGTTTCCAAACTGCACCATCAAAAGAAAGGTTAAACTCTGTGAGCTGAACACTCACATCACAAAGTAGTTTCTGTGAATGATTCTGTCTAGATTTTATAAGAAGATGTTTCCTTTTCTACCGTAGGCCACAAAGCGCTTGAAATCTCCAGCTGCAAATTCCACAAAAAGGGTGTTTAACATCTGCTCTTCTAAAGGAAAGTTCAACTCTATGAGTTGAATACACACAGCACAAAGAAGTTACTGAGACTTCTTCTTTCTAGCATTCTATGAAGAAATCCCGTTTCCAATGAAGGCCCCAAAGAGGTCCAAATATCTGCTTGCAGACTTTACAGACAGAGTTTTTCCAAACTGCTCCATCAAAAGAAAGGTTAAACTCCTTGAGTTGAACACACACATCACAAAGTAGTTTCTGTGAATGATTCTGTCTAGTTTTTATAAGAAGATGTTTCCTTTTCTACCTTTGGTCTCAAAGCGATTGAAATCTCCACATGGAAACTCCTCATAAAGAGTGTTTCAAATCTGCTCTTTCTGAAGGAAGGTTCAACTCTGTGAGTTGAATACACACACCACAAATAAGTTACTGAGAATTCTTCTGTGTAACATTATATGAGGAAATCCCGTTTCCAACGAAGGCCTCAAAGAGGTCCAAATATCCACTTGCAGACTATACAAAGACAGTGTCTCCAAACTCCTCCATCAAAAGAAAGGTTATACTCTGTGAATAGAACGCACACATCACAAAGTAGTTTCTGAGAATGATTCTGTCTAGTTTTTATACGAAGATATTTCCTTTTCTACATTTGGCCTAAAAGCGCTTGAATTCTCCACCTGCAAATATCAGAAAAAGAGGGTTTCACATCTGCTCTGTCTAAAGGACAGTTCACCTCTGTGAGTTGAATAGAGGCAACACAAAGAACTTACTCAGTATTCTTCTTTCTAGCGTTCTATGAAGAAATCCCGTTTCCAACGAAGGCCTCAAAGAGGTCAAATATCTGCTTGCAGACTTTACAGACAGAGTGTTTCCAAACTACTCTATGAAAAGAAAGCTTAAACTCCTTGAGTTGAACGCACACATCACAAAGTAGTTTCTGAGAATGATTCTGTCTAGTTTTTATACGAAGATGTTTCCTTTTCTACATTTGGTCTCAAAGCGATTGAAATCTCCAACTGGAAACTGCACAAATAGGCTGCTTCAAATCTGCTCTGTCTAAAGGAAGGTTCAGCTCTGTGAGTTGAATACACACACCACAAATAAGTTACTGAGAATTCTTCTGTCGAACATTACAGGAAGAAATCCCGTTTCCAACGAAGGCCTCAAAGAGCTCCAAATATCCACTTGCAGACATTACAAACAGTGTGTTTCCCAACTGCTCCATCAAAAGAAAGGTTAAACTCTGTGAGCTGAACACACACATCAAAAAGAAGTTTCTGTGAATGATTCTGTCTAGATTTTATAAGAAGATGTTTCCTTTTCTACCGTAGGCCTCAAAGCGCTTGAAATCTCCAGCTGCAAATTCCACAAAAAGGGTGTTCAACATCTGCTCTTCTAAAGCAAAGTTCAACTCTATGAGTTGAATACACACAGCACAAAGAAGTTACTGAGACTTCTCCTATCAAACATCATATTAATAAATCCCGTTTCCAACGAAGGCCTCAAAGAGGTCCAAATATCTGCTTGCAGACTTTACAGACAGAGTGTTTCCAAACTGCTCCATCAAAAGAAAGGTTAAACTCCTTGAGTTGAACACACACATCACAAAGTAGTTTCTGTGAATGATTCTGTCTACTTTTCATACGAAGATATTTCCTTTTCTACATTTGGCCTAAAAGCGCTTGAAATCTCCACCTGCAAATATCACAAAAAGAGGGTTTCACATCTGCTCTGTCTAAAGGACAGTTCACCTCTGTGAGTTGAATAGAGGCAACACAAAGAACTTACTCAGTATTCTTCTTTCTAGCGTTACATGAAGAAATCCCTTTTCCAACGAAGGCCTCAAAGAGGTCCAAATATCTGCTTGCAGACTTTACAGACAGAGTGTTTCCAAACTACTCTATGAAAAGAAAGCTTAAACTCCGTGAGTTGAACGCACACATCACAAAGTAGTTTCTGAGAATGATTCTGTCTTGTTTTTATACGAAGATATTTCCGTTTCTACGATTGGCCTCAAAGCGATTGAAATCTCCAACTAGAAACTGCAAAAATAGGGTGTTTCAAATCTGCTCTGTCTAAAGGAAGGTTCAAATCTGTGAGTTGAATACACACACCACAAATAAGTTACTGAGAATTCTTCTGTCGAACATTACATGAAGAAATCCCGTTTCCAACGAAGGCCTCAAAGAGGTCCAAATATCCACTTGCCGACATGGCAAACACAGTGTTTGCAAACTGCTCCATCAAAAGAAAGGTTAAACTCTGTGAGATAAACACACACATCAAAAAGAAGTTTCTGTGAATGTTTCTGTCTAGATTTTATAAGAAGATGTTTCCTTTTCTACCGTAGGCCTCAAAGCGCTTGAAATCTCCAGCTGCAAATTCTACAAAAAGGGTATTTAACATCTGCTCTTCTAAAGGAAAGTTCAACTCTATGCGTTGAATAAACACAGCAGAAAGAAGTTACTGAGACTTCTCCTATCAAACATTATATGAAGAAATCCCGTTTCCAACGAAGGCCCCAAAGAGGTCCAAATATCTGCTTGCAGACTTTACAGACAGAGTTTTTCCAAACAGCTCCATCAAAAGAAAGGTTAAACTCCTTGAGTTGAACACACACATCACAAAGTAGTTTCTGTGAATGATTCTGTCTAGTTTTTATACGAAGATGTTTCCTTTTCTACCTTTGGTCTCAAAGCCATTGAAATCTCCCCATGGAAACTCCACAAAAAGAGTGTTTCAAATCTGCTTTTTCTGAAGGAAGGTTCAACTCTGTGAGTTGAATACACACACCACAAAGAAGTTACTGAGAATTCTTCTGTGTAACATTATAGGAGGAAATCCCGTTTCCAATGAAGGCCTCAAAGAGGTCCAAATATCCACTTGCAGACTTTACAAAGACAGTGTCTCCAAACTCCTCCATCAAAAGAAAGGTTATCCTCTGTGCATTGAACGCACACATCACAAAGTAGTTTCTGAGAATGATTCTGTCTAGTTTTTATACGAAGATATTTCCTTTTCTACATTTGGCCTAAAAGCGCTTGAAATCTCCACCTGCAAATATCACAAAAAGAGGATTTCACATCTGCTCTGTCTAAAGGACAGTTCACCTCTGTGAGTTGAATAGAGGCAACACAAAGAACTTACTGAGTATTCTTCTTTCTACCGTTCTATGAAGAAATCCCGTTTCCAACGAAGGCCTCAAAGAGGTCCAAATATCTGCTTGCAGACTTTACAGACAGAGTGTTTCCAAACTACTCTATGAAAAGAAAGCTTAAACTCCTTGAGTTGAACGCACACATCACAAAGTAGTTTCTGAGAATGATTCTGTCTAGTTTTTATACGAAGATATTTCCTTTTCTACATTTGGTCTCAAAGCGATTGAAATCTCCAACT
Organism: Homo sapiens; assembly: GCF_000001405.40. NCBI lineage: Eukaryota > Metazoa > Chordata > Mammalia > Primates > Hominidae > Homo > Homo sapiens. The sequence goes on along the minus strand of NC_000012.12, from coordinate 34,840,319 downwards.
GGAAACTGCACAAATAGGGTGTTTCAAATCTGCTCTGTCTAAAGGGAGGTTCAACTCTGTGAGTTCAATACACACACCACAAATAAGTTACTGAGAATTCTTCTTTCGAACACTACTTGAAGAAATCCCGTTTCCAACGAAGGCCTCAAAGAGGTCCAAATATCCACTTGCAGACATTACAAACAGAGTGTTTCCAAACTGCTCCATCAAAAAAAAGGTTATACTCTGTGAATTGAACGCACACATCACAAAGTAGTTTCTGAGAATGATTCTGTCTAGATTTTATAAGAAGAGGTTTCCTTTTCTACCGTAGGCCTCAAAGCTCTTGAAATCTCCAGCTGCAAATTCCACAAAAAGGGTGTTTAACATCTGCTCTTCTAAAGGAAAGTTCAACTCTATGAGTTGAATACACACAGCACAAAGAAGTTACTGAGACTTCTCCTATCAAACATTATATGAAGAAACCCCGTTTCCAACGAAGGCCTCAAAGAGGTCCAAATAGCTCCTTGCAGACTTTACAGACAGAGTGTTTCCAAACTGCTCCATCTAAAGAAAGGTTAAACTCCTTGAGTTGAACACACACATCACAAAGTAGTTTCTGTGAATGATTCTGTCCAGTTTTTATACGAAGATGTTTCCTTTTCTACCTTTGGTCTCAAAGCGATTGAAATCTCCACATGGAAACTCCACAAAAAGAGTGTTTCAAATCTGCTCTTTCTGAAGGAAGGTTCAAATCTGTGAGTTGAATACACACACCACAAATAAGTTACTGAGAATTCTTCTGTGTAACATTATATGAGGAAATCCCGTTTCCAACGAAGGCCTCAAAGAGGTCCAAATATCCACTTGCAGACTTTACAAAGACTGTGTCTCCAAACTCCTCCATCAAAAGAAAGGTTATACTCTGTGAATTGAACGCACACATCACAAAGTAGTTTCTGAGAATGATTCTGTCTAGTTTTTATACGAAGATATTTCCTTTTCTACATTTGGCCTAAAAGCGCTTGAAATCTCCACCTGCAAATATCACAAAAAGAGGTTTTCACATCTGCTCTGTCTAAAGGACAGTTCACCTCTGTGAGTTGAATAGAGGCAACACAAAGAACTTACTCAGTATTCTTCTTTCTAGCGTTCTATGAAGAAATCCCGTTTCCAACGAAGGCCGCAAAGAGGTCAAATATCTGCTTGCAGACTTTACAGACAGAGTGTTTCCAAACTACTCTATGAAAAGAAAGCTTAAACTCCTTGAGTTGAACGCACACATCACAAAGTAGTTTCTGAGAATGATTCTGTCTAGTTTTTGTACGAAGACGTTTCCTTTTCTACATTTGGTCTCAAAGCGATTGAAATCTCCAACTGGAAACTGCACAAATAGGCTGTTTCAAATCTGCTCTGTCTAAAGGAAGGTTCAGCTCTGTGAGTTGAATACACACACCACAAATAAGTTACTGAGAATTCTTCTGTCGAACATTACAGGAAGAAATCCCGTTTCCAACGAAGGCCTCAAAGAGGTCCAAATATCCACTTGCAGACATTACAAACAGTGTGTTTCCCAACTGCTCCATCAAAAGAAAGGTTAAACTCTGTGAGCTGAACACACACATCAAAAAGAAGTTTCTGTGAATGATTCTGTCTAGATTTTATAAGAAGATGTTTCCTTTTCTACCGTAGGCCTCAAAGCGCTTGAAATCTCCAGCTGCAAATTCCACAAAAAGGGTGTTTAACATATGCTCTTCTAAAGGAAAGTTCAACTCAATGAGTTGAATACACACAGCACAAAGAAGTTACTGAGACTTCTCCTATCAAACATTATATGAAGAAATCCCGTTTCCAACGAAGGCCTCAAAGAGGTCCAAATATCTGCTTGCAGACTTTACAGACAGAGTGTTTCCAAACTGCTCCATCAAAAGAAAGGTTAAACTCCTTGAGTTGAACACACACCTCACAAAGTAGTTTCTGTGAATGATTCTGTCTTGTTTTGATACGAAGATGTTTCCTTTTCTACCTTTGGTCTCAAAGCGATTGAAATCTCCACATGGAAACTCCACAAAAAGAGTGTTTCAAATCTGCTCTTTCTGAAGGAAGGTTCATCTCTGTGAGTTGAATACACACACCACAAATAAGTTACTGAGAATTCTTCTGTGTAACATTATATGAGGAAATCCCATTTCCAACGAAGGCCTCAAAGAGGTCCAAATATCCACTTGCAGACTTTACAAAGACAGTGTCTCCAAACTCCTCCATCAAAAGAAAGGTTATACTCTGTGAATTGAACGCACACATCACAAAGTAGCTACTGAGAATGATTCTGTCTAGTTTTTATACGAAGATATTTCCTTTTCTACATTAGGCCTAAAAGCCCTTGAAATCTCCACCGGCAAATATCACAAAAAGAGGGTTTCACATCTGCTCTGTCTAAAGGACTGTTCACCTCTGTGAGTTGAATAGAGGCAACACAAAGAACTTACTCAGTATTCGTCTTTCTAGCGTTCTATGAAGAAATCCCGTTTCCAACGAAGGCCTCAAAGAGGTCCAAATATCTGCTTGCAGACTTTACAGACAGAGTGTTTCCAAACTACTCTATGAAAAGAAAGCTTAAACTCCTTGAGTTGAACGCACACATCACAAAGTAGTTTCTGAGAATGATTCTGTCTAGTTTTTATACGAAGATGTTTCCTTTTCTACATTTGGTCTCACAGCGATTGAAATCTCCAACTGGAACCTGCACAAATAGGGTGTTTCAAATCTGCTCTGTCTAAAGGAAGGTTCAACTCTGTGAGTTGAATACACACACCACAAATAAGTTACTGAGATTACTTCTGTCGAACATTACTTGAAGAAATCCCGTTTCCAATGAAGGCCTCAAAGAGGTCCAAATATCCACTTGCAGACATTACAAACAGAGTGTTTCCAAACTGCTCCATCAAAAGAAATGTTAAACTCTGTGAGCTGAACACACACATCAAAAAGAAGTTTCTGTGAATGATTCTGTCTAGATTTTATAAGAAGATGTTTCCTTTTCTACCGTAGGCCTCAAAGCGCTTGAAATCTCCAGCTGCAAATTCCACAAAAAGGGTGTTTAACATCTGCTCTACTAAAGGAAAGTTCAACTCTATGCGTTGAATACACACAGCACAAAGAAGTTACTGAGACTTCTCCTATCAAACATTATATGAAGAAATCCCGTCTCCAACGAAGGCCTCAAAGAGGTCCAAATATCTGCTTGCAGACTTTACAGACAGAGTTTTTCCAAACTGCTCCATCAAAAGAAAGGTTAAACTCCTTGAGTTGAACACACACATCACAAAGTAGTTTCCGTGAATGATTCTGTCTAGTTTTTATACGAAGATGTTTCCTTTTCTACCTTTGTTCTCAAAGCGATTGAAATCTCCACATGGAAACTCCAGAAAAAGAGTGCTTCAAATCTGCTCTTTCTGAAGGAAGGTTCAACTCTGTGAGTTGAATACACACACCACAAATAAGTTACTGAGAATTCTTCTGTGTAACATTATATGAGGAAATCCCGTTTCCAACGAAGGCCTCAAAGAGGTCCAAATATCCACTTGCAGACTTACAAAGACAGTGTCTCCAAACTCCTCCATCAAAAGAAAAGTTATACTCTGTGAATTGAACGCACACATCACAAAGTAGTTTCTGAGAATGATTCTGTCTAGTTTTTATACGAAGATATTTCCTTTTCTACATTTGGCCTAAAAGCGCTTGAAATCTCCACCTGCAAATATCACAAAAAGAGGGTTTCACATCTGCTCTGTCTAAAGGACAGTTCACCTCTGTGAGTTGAATAGAAGCAACACAAAGAACTTACTCAGTATTCTTCTTTCTAGCGTTCTATGAAGAAATCCCGTTTCCAACGAAGGCCCCAAAGAGGTCCAAATATCTGCTTGCAGACTTTACAGACAGAGTGTTTCCAAACTACTCTATGAAAAGAAAGCTTAAACTCCTTGAGTTGAACGCACACATCACAAAGTAGTTTCGGAGAATGATTCTGTCTAGTTTTTGTACGAAGATGTTTCCTTTTCTACATTTGGTCTCAAAGCGATTGAAATCTCCAACTGGAAACTGCACAAATAGGCTGTTTCAAATCTGGTCTGTCTAAAGGAAGGTTCAACTCTGTGAGTTGAATACACACACCACAAAGAAGTTACTGAGAATTCTTCTGTCAAACATTACATGAAGAAATCCCGTTTCCAACGAAGGCCTCAAAGAGGTCCAAATATCCACTTGCAGACATTACAAACAGAGTGTTTCCAAACTGCTCCATCAAAGGAAAGGTTAAACTCTGTGAGCTGAACAAACACATCAAAAAGAAGTTTCTGTGAATGATTCTGTCTAGATTTTATAAGAAGATGTTTCCTTTTCTACCATAGGCCTCAAAGCGCTTGAAATCTCCAGCTGCAAATTCCAAAAAAAGGGTGTTTAACATCTGCTCTTCTAAAGGAAAGTTCAACTCTATGAGTTGAATACACACAGCACAAAGAAGTTACTGAGACTTCTCCTATCAAACATTATATGAAGAAATCCCGTTTCCAACGAAGGCCCCAAAGAGGTCCAAATATCTGCTTGCAGACTTTACAGACAGAGTTTTTCCAAACTGCTCCATCAAAAGAAAGGTTAAACTCCTTGAGTTGAACACACACATCACAAAGTAGTTTCTGAGAATGATTCTGTCTAGTTTTTATACGAAGATATTTCCTTTTCTATATTTGGCCTAAAAGCGCTTGAAATCTCCACCTGCAAATATCACAAAAAGAGGGTTTCACATCTGCTCTGTCTACAGGACAGTTCACCTCTGTGAGTTGAATAGAGGCAACACAAAGAACTTACTCAGTATTCTTCTTTCTAGCGTTATATGAAGAAATCCCGTTTCCAACGAAGGCCTCAAAGAGGTCCAAATATCTGCTTGCCGACTTTACAGACTGAGTGTTTCCAAACTACTCTATGAAAAGAAAGCTTAAACTCCTTGAGTTGAACGCACACATCACAAAGTTGTTTCTGAGAATGAT
>NC_000012.12:34832188-34835195 GCF_000001405.40 Homo sapiens | reverse complement strand
TTTTGTGCAATTTGCAGGTGGAGATTTCAAGCTCTTTGAGGCCAATGTTACAATCGTTTTGTACAATTTGCAATTGGAGTTTTCAAGCACTTTGAGGCCTAGGGTAGAAAAGGAAATATCTTCGTATAAAAACTAGACAGAATCATTCTCGGAAACTACTTTGTGGTGTGTGCGTTCAACTCACAGAGTTTAACCTTTCTTTTCATAGAGCAGTTTGGAAACACTCTGTTTGTAAAGCCTGCAAGTGGATATTTGGACCTCTTGGAGGCCTTCGTTGGAAACGGGATTTCTTCATATAATGCTAGACAGAAGAATTCTCAGGAACTTTTTGTGTTGCGTGTACTCAACTCACAGAGATGAACCTTAGTTTAGAAAGAGCTGATTTGAAAGACACTTTTTGTGGAATTTGTAGGTGGAGATTTCAAGCGCTTTGAGCCCTTTGGTAGAAAAGGAAATATCTTCGCATAACAACTAGACAGAATCATTCTCAGAAACTACACTGTGATGAGTACGTTCAACTCACAGAGTTTAAGCTTTCTTTTCTTAAGCAGTTTGGAAACACTCTGTTTGTAAAGTCTGCAAGTGCTTATTTAGACCTCTTGGAGGCCTTCGTTGGAAAAGGGCTTTCTTCATGTAATGTTAGACAGAAGAATTCTCAGTAACTTCTTTGTGTTGTGTGTATTCAACTCACAGAGTTGAGCCTTCCTTAGACAGAGCAGATTTGATACACTCTTTTTGTGGAAATTGCAGGTTGAGATTTCATGCACTTTGAGGAAAAGGGAAGAAAAGGAAATATCTTCGTATAAAAACTAGACAGAATCATTCTCAGAAACCACTTTGTGATGTGTGCGTTCAACTCAGAGAGTTTCACCTTTCTTTTCACAGAGCAGTTTGGAAACACTATGCTTGTAAAATCTGCAAGTGGCTATTTGGACTTCTTTGAGGCTTTCATTGGAAACGGGATTTCTTCATATAATGCAAGACGGAAGAATTCTGAGTAACTTCTTTGTGTTACGTGTATTCAACTCACAGAGGTGAACCTTCCATCAGACAGAGCGGATTTGAAACACTCTTTTTGTGGAATTTGCAGGTGGACATTTCAAGCTCTTTGAGGCCAATGTTACAATCCTTTTGTAGAATTTGCAATTGCAGTTTTCAAGCACTTTGAGGCCAAGGGTAGAAAAGGAAATATCTTCGTATAAAAACTAGACAGAATCATTCTCAGAAACTACTTTGTGGTGTGTGCGTTCAACTCACAGAGTTTAACCTTTCTTTTCATAGAGCACTTTGGAAACACTCTGTTTGTAAAGCCTGCAAGTGGATATTTGGACCCCTTGGAGGACTTCGTTGGAAACGGGATTTCTTCATATAATGCTAGACAGAAGAATTCTCAGTAACTACTTTGTGTTGTGTGTATTCATCTCACAGAATTGAACCATCCTTTAGACAGAGCAGATTTGATACACTCTTTTTGTGGAATTTGCAGGTGGAGATTTCAAGGGCTTTGAGCCCAATGATAGAATAGGAAATATCTTCGTATAAAAACAAGACAGAATCGTTCTCAGAAACTACTTTGTGATGTGTGCGTTCAACTCACAGAGTTTAACCTTTCTTTTCATAGAGCAATTTGGAAACACTCTGTTTCTAAAGTCTGCAAGTAGATATTTGGACCTCTTTGAGGCCTTCATTGGAAACGGGACTTCTTCATAAAACGCTACAAAGAAGAATACTCAGTAACTTCATTGGGTTGCCTCTATTCAACTCACAGAGGTGAACAGTCCTTTAGACAGAGCAGATGTGAAACACTCTTTCTGTGGAATTTGCAGGTGGAGATTTCAAGCGCTTTGAGGCCAAATGAAGAACAGGAAATATCTTCGTATAAAATGCAGACAGAATCATTCTCAGAAACTACTTTGTGATGTGTGTATACCACTCACAGAGTTTAACCTTTCTTTTCATAGAGCAGTTGGAAACACTCTGTTTGAAGGTCTGCAAGTGGGTATTTGGAGCTCTTTGAGGCATCCATTGGAAACTGGATTTCTTCATATAATGCTAGACAGAAGAATTCTCAGTAACTTCTTTGTGTTGCGTGTATTCTACTCACAGACTTCAACGTTCCTTTAGAGAGAGGACATTTGATACACTCTTTTTGTGGAATTTGCATGTGGAGATTTCAAGCGCTTTGAGGCCAAGGTTAGAAAAGGATGTATCTTCGTATAAAATCTAGAGAGAATCATTCTCAGAAACTAGTTTGTGATGTGTACGTTCAACTCACAGAGTTTAACATTTCTTTACATAGAGCAGTTTTTAAACACTCTCTTTGTAATATCTGCAAGTGGAAATTTGGAACTCATTGTGGCCTTCGTTGGAAACGGGATTTCTTCATATAATGCTAGACAGAAGAATTCTTAGTAACTTCTTTGTGTTGCGTGTATTCAACGTACAGAGTTGATCCTTGCTTTAGACAGAGCAGATTTGAAACACTCTTTTTGTGGAATTTGCAAGTGGAGATTTCAAGCGCTTTGAGGCCAATGGTAGCAAAGGAAACATCGTCGTATAAAAACTAGACAGAATCATTCTGAGAAACTACATTGTGATGTGTGCGTTCAACTCACAGAGTTTAACCTTTCTCTTCATCGAGCAGTTTGGAAACACTCTGGTTGTAAGGTCTGCAAGTGGATATTTGGAACTCTTTGTGGCCTTCGTTGGAAACGGGATTTCTCCATATAATGTTAGATAGAAGAAGTCTCAGTAACTTATTTGTGGTGTGTGTATTCAACTCAGAGAGTTGAACTTTCCTTTATACAGACCAGATGTGAAACACTCTTTTTATGGAATTTGCAGGTGGAGATTTCAAGCGCTTTGAAGCCAATGGTAGAAAAGGAAATAACGTCGTATAAAATCTAGAGAGAATCATTCACAGAAATTTCTTTCTGACGTGTGTTCAACTCACAGTTTTTAACCTTTCTTTTGATGGAGCGGTTTGGAAACACCCTGTTTGTATTCT
>NC_000012.12:34829237-34832088 GCF_000001405.40 Homo sapiens | reverse complement strand
TCTTCGTATAAAAAACAGACAGAATCATTCTCATAAACTACTTGGTGATGTGTGCGTTGAATTCACAGAGTATAACCTTTGTTTTGATGGAGGAGTTTGGAGACACTGTCTTTGTAATGTCTGTAAGTGGATATTTGGACCTCTTTGAAGCCTTCGTTGGAAACGGGTTTTCCTCATATAAAGTTACACAGATGAATTCTCAGTAACTTACTTGTGCTGTGTGTATTCATCTCAAAGAGTTGAACCTTCCTTCCGAAAGAGCAGATTTGAAACACTCCTTTTGTGGAGTTTCCATGTGGAGATTTCAAGCGCTTTGAGGCCTATGGTAGAAAAGGAAACATCTTCGTATAAAATCTAGACAGAATCATTGACAGAAACTTCTTTTTGATGTGTGTGTTCAACTCACAGAGTTTAACCTTTCTTTTGATGGAGGAGTTTGGAAACACTCTGTTTGTCATGTCTGCAAGTGGATATTTGGACCTCTTTGAGGCCTTCGTTGGAAACGGGATTTCTTCTTGTAATGTTCGACAGAAGAATTCTCAGTAACTTATTTGTGGGGTGTGTATTCAACTCACAGAGTTGAAACTTCCTTTAGACAGAGCACATTTGAAACACTCTGTTTGTGCAGTTTCCAGTTGGAGATTTCAATCGCTTTGAGGCCAATCGTAGAAACGGAAATATCTTCGTATAAAAACAAGACAGAATCATTCTCAGAAACTACTTTGTGATGTGCGCGTTCAAGTCACGGAGTTTAAGCTTTCTTTTCATAGAGTAGTTTGGAAACACTCTGTCTGTAAGTCTACAAGCAGATATTTGGACCTCTTTGAGGCCTTCGTTGGAAACGGGATTTCTTCATATAACGCTAGAAAGAAGAATACTCAGTAACTTCTTTGTGTTGCCTCTATTCAACTCACAGAGTTGAACTGTCCTTTAGACAGAGCAGATGTGAAACCCTCTTTTTGTGACATCTGTAGGTGGAGATTTCAAGTGCTTTTAGGCCAAATGTAGAAAAGGAAATATCTTCGTATAAAAACTAGACAGAATCATTCTCAGAAACTACTTTGTGATGTGTGCGTTCAATTCACAGAGTATAACCTTTGTTTTGATGGAGGAGTTTGGAGACACTGTCTTTGTAAAGTCTGCATGTGGATATTTGGACCTCTTTGAAGCCTTCGTTGGAAACGGGTTTCCTCACATAATGTTACACAGATGAATTCTCAGTAACTTACTTGTGCAGTGTGTATTCATCTCAAAGAGTTGAACCTTCCTTCAGAAAGAGCAGATTTGAAACACTCTTTTTGTGGAGTTTCCATGTGGAGATTTCAAGCGCTTTGAGGCCTATGGTAGAAAAGGAAACATCTTCGTATAAAATCTAGACAGAATCATTCACAGAAACTACTTTGTGATGTGTCTGTTCAACTCACAGAGTTTAAACTTTCTTTTGATGGAGCAGTTTGGAAACACTCTGTTTGTCACGTCTGCAAGTGGATATTTGGACCTCTTTGTGGCCTTCGTTGGAAACGGAATTTCTTCATATAATGTTAGACAGAAGAATTCTCAGTAACTTATTTCTGCTGTGTGTATTCAACTCACAGAGTGGAACTTTCCTTTAGAAGAGCAGATGTTAAACACCCTTTTTGTGGAATTTGCAGCTGGAGATTTCAAGTGCTTTGAGGCCTATGTTAGAAAAGGAAACATCTTCGTATAAAATCTAGACAGAATCATTCACAGAAACTTCTTTTTGATATGTGTGTTCAACTCACAGAGTTTAACCATTCTTTTGATGGAGCAGTTTGGAAACATTCTATTTGTAATGTCTGCAAGTGGATATTTGGACCTCTTTGAGGCCTTCGTTGGAAACGGGATTTCTTCATGTAATGTTCGACAGAAGAATTCTCAGTAACTTATTTGTGGTGTGTGTATTCAACTCCAGAGTCCAACCTTCCTTTAGACGGAGCACATTTGAAACACCCTATCTGTGCAGTTTCCAGTTGGAGATTTCAGTCGCTTTGAGGCCAATCGTAGAAACGGAAATATCTTCGTATAAATACAAGACAGAATCATTGTCAGAAACTACTTTGTGATGTGTGCGTTCAACTCACGGAGTTTAAGCTTTCTTTTCATAGAGTAGTTTGGAAACACTCTGTCTGTAAAGTCTGCAAGCAGATATTTGGACCTCTTTGAGGCTTTCGTTGGAAACGGGATTTCTTCATATAAAGCTAAAAAGAAGAATACTCAGAAACTTCTTTTTGTTGCCTCTATTCAACTCAGAGAAGTGAACTGTCCTTTAGACAGAGCAGATGTGAAACCCTCTTTTTGTGATATTTGCAGGTGGAGATATCAAGCGCTTTTAGGCCAAATGTAGAAAAGGAAATATCTTCGTATAAAAACTAGACAGAATCATTCTCAGAAACTACTTGGTGATGTGTGCGTTCAATTCACAGAGTATAACCTTTGTTTTGATGGAGGAGTTTGGAGACACTGTCTTTGTAAAGTCTGCAAGTGGATATTTGGACCTCTTTGAAGCCTTCGTTGGAAACGGGTTTTCCTCATATAAAGTTACACAGATGAATTCTCAGTAACTTACTTGCGCTGTGTGTATTCATCTCAAAGAGTTGAACCTTCCTTCCGAAAGAGCAGATTTGAAACACTCTTTTTGTGGAGTTTCCATGTGGAGATTTCAAGCGCTTTGAGACCTATGGTAGAAAAGGAAACATCTTCGTATAAAATCTAGACAGAATCATTCACAGAAACTTCTTTTTGATGTGTGTGTTCAACTCACAGAGTTTAACCTTTCTTTTGATGGAGCAGTTTGGAAACACTCTGTTTGTCATGTCTGCAAGTGGATATT
>NC_000012.12:34820285-34822289 GCF_000001405.40 Homo sapiens | reverse complement strand
GCTTACAGGCTAAAAGTAGAAAAGGAAATATCTTCGTATAAAAAGTAGACAGAATCATTCTCAGAAACTACTTTGTGATGTGTGCGTTCAATTCACAGAGTTTAACCTTTCTTTTGATTGAGCAGTTTGGAAACACTCTCTTTGTAAATTCTGCAAGTGGATATATGGACCTCTTTGAGTCCTTCGTTGGAAACGGGATTTCTTCATATAATGCCAGACAGAATAATTCTCCGTAACTTCTTTGTGTTGTGTGTATTCAACTCACAGAGTTGAACATTCCTTTAGACAGAGCAGATGTGAAACACTCTTTCTGTGATATTTGCAGATGGAGATTTCAAGCACATTTAGGCCACATGTAGAAAAGGAAATATCTTCGTATAAAAAGTAGACAGAATCATTCTCAGAAACTACTTTGTGATGTGTGCGTTCAATTCACAGAGTTTAACCTTTCTTTTGATTGACCAGTTTGGAAACACTCTGTTTGTAAAGTTTGCCAGTGGATATTTGGACACCTTTGAGGCCTTCGTTGGAAACGGGATTTCTTCATATAATGTTAGACAGAAGAATTCTCAGAAACTTATTTGTGTTATATTTATTCAACTAGCAGAATTGAAACTTCCTTTTGACAGAGCAGATTTGATACACTCTTTTTGTGGAATTTCCAGGTGCAGATTTCAATCGCTTTGAGGCCAGTGGTAGAAAAGGACATATATTCATAGAAAAACAAGAGAGAATCATTCTCAGAAACTACTTTGTGATGTGTGCGTTCAACTCGCAGAGTTTAACCTTTCTTTTCATGCAGCAGTGTGGAAACACTCTGGTTGGACAGTCCGCAAGAGGATATTTGGACCTCTTCGAGCCTTTCCTTAGAAAAGGGTTTTCTTCATATAATGCTAGACAGAAGAATTCTCAGTAACTTCTTTGTGTTGTGTGTATTCCACTCACAGACTTGAACCTTCCTTCAGAGAGAGCACATTTGATACACTCTTTTTGTGGAATTTGCATGTGGAGATTTCAAGCGCTTTCAGGCCAAGGGTAGAAAAGGTAGTATCTTCGTACAAAATCTAGACAGAATCATTCCGAGAAACTACTTTGTCATGTGAGTGTTCAACTCACACGGTTTAGCCTTTCTTTTCATAGTGCTGTTTAGAATCACTCTCTTTTTAATATCTGCACGTGGAAAATTGGACCTCTTTGAGGCCTTCGTTGGAAACGGGATTTCTTCATATAATTTTGGAGAAAGAATTCTCAGTAACTTCTTTGTGTCCTGTGTATTCAATTCACAGGTTTGAAACTTCTTTTAGGCGGAGCAGATGTGAAACACTCTTTCTGTGACATTTGCAGTTGGAGATTTCAAGCGCTTACAGGCCAAAAGTAGAAAAGGAAATATCTTCGTATAAAAAGTAGACAGAATCATTCTCAGAAACTACTTTGTGATGTGTGCGTTCAATTCACAGAGTTTAACCTTTCTTTTGATTGAGCAGTTTGGAAACACTCTCTTTGTAAATTCTGCAAGTGGATATATGGACCTCTTGAGTCCTTCGTTGGAAACGGGATTTCTTCATATAATGCCAGACAGAATAATTCTCCGTAACTTCTTTGTGTTGTGTGTATTCAACTCACAGAGTTGAACATTCCTTTAGACAGAGCAGATGTGAAACACTCTTTCTGTGATATTTGCAGATGGAGATTTCAAGCACATTTAGGCCACATGTAGAAAAGGAAATATCTTCGTATAAAAAGTAGACAGAATCATTCTCAGAAACTACTTTGTGATGTGTGCGTTCAATTCACAGAGTTTAACCTTTCTTTTGATTGACCAGTTTGGAAACACTCTGTTTGTAAAGTTTGCCAGTGGATATTTGGACACCTTTGAGGACTTCGTTGGAAACGGGATTTCTTCATATAATGTTAGACAGAAGAATTCTCAGAAACTTATTTGTGTTATATGTATTCAACTAGCAGAATTGAAACTTCCTTTTGACAGAGCAGATTTGATACACT
>NC_000012.12:34816711-34820185 GCF_000001405.40 Homo sapiens | reverse complement strand
GCCTGAAAGCACTTGAAATCTCCACATGCAAATCCCACAAAAAGAGTGTATCAAATGTGCTCTTCTGAAGGAAGGTTCAAGTCTGTGAGTGGAATACACCCACACAAAGGAAGTTACTGAGAATTCTTCTGTCTAGCATTATATGAAGAAAACCTTTTTCTAAGGAAAGGCTCGAAGAGGTCCAAATATCCTCTTGCGGACTGTCCAACCAGAGTGTTTCCACACTGCTGCATGAAAAGAAAGGTTAAACTCTGTGAGTTGAACGCACACATCCAAAAGTAGTTTCTGAGAATGATTCTGTCTACTTTTTATACGAAGATATTTCTTTTTCTACCATTGGCCTCAAAGCGATTGAAATTTCCACTTGGAAATTCCACAAAAAGAGTGTTTCAAATCTGCTCTGTCTAAAGGAAAGGTCAACTCTGTGAGTTGAATGCACACAACAGAAATAAGTTACTGAGAGTTCTTCTGTCTAACATTATACGAAGAATTCCCGCTTCCAACGAAGGACACAAAGAGGTCCATATATCCACCTGCAGAATTTACAAGGAGAGTGTCTCCAAACTGCTCAATCAAAAGAAAGTTTAAACTCTGTGAATTGAACGCACCCATCACAAAGTAGTTTCTGAGAATGATTCTGTCTACTTTTTATATGAAGATATTTCCTTTTCTACTTTTGGCCTATAAGCGCTTGAAATCTCCAACTGCAAATATCACAGAAAAAGTGTTTCACATCTGCTCCGCCTAAAAGAAGGTTCAAATCTGTGAGTTGAATACACAGGACACAAAAAATTTACTGAGAATTCTTTCTCCAACATTATATGAAGAAATCCCTTTTCCAACGAAGGCCTCAAAGAGGTCCAATTTTCCACGTGCAGATATTAAAAAGAGAGTGATTCTAAACAGCACTTGAAAAGAAAGGTTAAACTCCGTGAGTTGAACGCTCACATGACAAAGTAGTTTCTCAGAATGATTCTGTCTAGATTTTGTACGAAGATACTACCTTTTCTACCCTTGGCCTGAAAGCGCTTGAAATCTCCACATGCAAATTCCACAAAAAGAGTGTATCAAATGTTCTCTCTCTAAAGGAAGGTTCAAGTCTGTGAGTGGAATACACACAACACAAAGAAGTTACTGAGAATTCTTCTGTCTAGCATTATATGAAGAAAACCCTTTTCTAAGGAAAGGCTCGAAGAGGTCCAAATATCCTCTTGCGGACTGTCCAACCAGAGTGTTTCCACACTGCTGCATGAAAAGAAAGGTTAAACTCTGTGAGTTGAAAGCACACTTCACAAAGTAGTTTCTGAGAATGATTCTGTCTAGATTTTTTACGAAGATAGTTCCTTTTCTACCCTTGGCCTGAAAGCGCTTGAAATCTCCACCTGCAAATTCCACAAAAAGAGTGTATGAAATCTCCTCTCTCAACTGAAAAGTTCAAGTCTGTGATTGGAATACACACAATACAAAGAATTTACTGAGAATTCTTCTGTCTATCAGTATATGAAGAAATCCCGTTTCCAACAGAGGCCTCAAAGAGGTCCAAATATCCACTTGCAGACTTTACAAACAGAGTGTTACCAAACTGCTCTATGAAAAAGAAAGTTTAAACTCTATGAATTGAATGCACACATCACAAAGTAGTTTCTCAGAATGATTCTGTCAAGATTTTATACGAAGATACTTCCTTTTCTACCATTGGCCACAAAGCACGTGAAATCTCCACCTGCAAATTCAACAAAAAGAGTGTTTCACATCTGTTCGGTCTAAAGTTTGGTTCACTTCTGTGAGTTGAATACAGGCAACAGAAAGAAGATACTGAGAATTCTTCTTTCTAGCATTATATGAAGAAATCCCGTTTCCAACGAAGGCCTCAAAGAGGTCCAAATATCCACTTGCAGACTTTACAAAGAGAGTTTTTCCAAACTGCTCTATGAAAAGAAAGGTTAAACTCTGCGAGTTGAACGCACACATCACAAAGTAGTTTCTGAGAAGGATTCTCTCTTGTTTTTCTACGAATATATGTCCTTTTCTACCATTGGCCTCAAAGCGATTGAAATCTGCAACTGGAAATTCCACAAAAAGAGTGTATCAAATCTGCTCTGTCAAAAGGAAGTTTCAATTCTACTAGTTGAATAAACATAACACAAATAAGTTTCTGAGAATTCGTCTGTCTAACATTATATGAAGAAATCCCGTTTCCAATGAAGGCCTAAAAGGTGGCCAAATATCCACTGGCAGACATTACAAAGAGAGTGTTTCCAAACTGCTCAATCAAAAGAAAGGTTAAACTCTGAGAATTGAACGCACACATCACAAATTAGTTTCTGAGAATGATTCTGTCTAGTTTTTATACGAAGATACATCCTTTTCTACCTTTGGCATAGAAGAGCTTGAAATCTCCACTTGCAAATATCACAAAAAGAGTGTCTCACATATGCTCTGTCTAAAGGAAGGTTCAAATCTGTGAGTTGAATACAAACAACACAAGGAAGTTACAGAGAATTCTTCTGCTAGCATTATATGAAGAAATCCCGTTTCCAACGAAGGCCTCAAAGAGGTGCAAATATCCACTTGCAGACATTACAAAGACAGTGTCTCCAAACTCCTCAATCAAAAGAAAGGTTATACTCTGTGAATTGAACGCACACATCACAAAGTAGTTTCTGGGAAAGATTCTGTCTAGTTTTTATACGAAGATATTTCCTTTTCTACATTTTGCCTAAAAGCGCTTGAAATCTCCACGTGCAAATATCACAGAAAGAGTGTTTCACATCTGCTCTGTCTAAAGGACAGTTCACCTCTGTGAGTTGAATAGAGGCAACACAAAGAAGTTACTGAGTATTCTTCTTTCTTGCGGGATATGAATAAATCCCATTTCCAATGAAGGCCTCAAAGAGCTCCAAATATCTGCTTGCAAACTTTACAAACAGAGGGTATCCAAACTACTCTATGAAAAGAAAGCTTAAACTCCGTGAGTTGAACGCACACATCACAAATTAGTCTCTGAGCATGATTCTGTCTTGTTTTTATACGAAGGTATTTCCGTTTCTACGAATGGCCTCAAAGCCATTGAAATCTCCAACTGGAAACTGCACAAATAGAGTATTTCAAATGTGCTCTGTCTAAAGGAAGGTTCAACTCTGTGAGTTGAATACACACACCACAAATAAGTTACTGAGAATTCTTCTGTCGAACATTACATGAAGAAATCCCGTTTCCAACGAAGGCCTCACAGAGGTCCAAATATCCACTTGCAGACATTACAAACAGAGTGTTTCCAAACTGCTCCATCAAAAGAAAGGTTAAACTCTGTGAGCTGAACACACACATCAAAAAGAAGTTTCTGTGAATGATGCTGTCTAGATGTTATACGAAGATGTTTCCTTTTCTACCATTGGCCTCAAAGCGCTTTAAATCTCCAGCTTCAAATTCCTCAAAAAGGGTGTTTCACATCTGCTCTGTCTAAAGGAAAGT
>NC_000012.12:34798437-34816611 GCF_000001405.40 Homo sapiens | reverse complement strand
TCTGTCTAGCATTATATGAAGAAATCCCTTTTCTAAGGAAAGTCTCAAAGAGGTCCAAATATCTTCTTGCAGACTTTGAAACAGAGTGTTTCCAAACTGCTGCATGAAAAGAAAGGTTAAACTCTGTGAATTGATCGCACACATCACAAAGTAGATTCTCAGAATGATTCTGTATAGTTTTTATACGAAGATATATCCTTTTCTATCTTTGGCCTAAAAGCTCTACAAATCTCCACGTGCAAATATCACAAAAAGAGTATTTCACATCTGCTCTGTCTAAAGGAAGTTTCAACTCTATGAGTTGAATACACACAACACAAGGAAGTTATTAAGATTTATTCTGTCTAGCAGTATATGAAGAAATCCCGTTTCCAACGAAGGCCTCAAAGAGGTCCAAATATCCTCTTGCAGACTTTACATACAGAGTGTTTCCAGGCTGCTCTATGAAAAGAAAGGTTAAAATCTGTGAGTTGAACGCACACATCAAAAAGTAGTTTCTGAGAATGATTCTGTCTAGATTTTATACGAAGATACTTCCTTTTCTACCCTTGGCCTCAAAGCGCTTGAAATTTCCACCTGCAAATTCCACAAAATGAGTGTATCAAATCTCCTCTCTCTAAAGGAAGGTTTAAGTCTGTGAGTGGAATACACACAACACAAAGCAGTTACTGAGAATTCTTCTTTCTAACAGTATATGAAGAAATCCCGTTTCCAAAGAAGGCCTCAAAGAGGTCTAAATATCCACTTGCAGACTTTGCAAAGAGTGTTTCCAAACTGCTCTATGAAAAGAAAGGTTAAACTCTGTGATTTGAACGCACACATCACAAAGTAGTTTGTGAGAATGATTCTGTCTAGTTATTATACAAAAAATATTTCCTTTTCTACCATTGGCCACAAACAACGTGAAATCTCCACCTGTAAATTCAACAAAAAGAGTGTTTCACATCTGCTCGGTCTAAAGGTTGGTTCACTTCTGTGAGTTGAATACAGGCACCACAAAGAAGTTACTGAGAATTCTTCTTTCTAGCATTATATGAAGAAATCCCGTTTCCAAAGAAGGCCTCAAAGAGGTATAAATATCCACTTGCAGACTTTACAAAGAGAGTTTTTCCAAACTGCTCTATGAAAAGAAAGGTTAAACTCGGCGAGTTGAACGCACACATCACAAAGTAGTTTCTGAGAATGATTCTCTCTTGTTTTTCTACGAATATATGTCCTTTTCTACCATTGGCCTCAAAGCGAATGAAATCTGCACCTGGAAATTCCACAAAAGGAGTGTATCAAATCTGCTCTGTCAAAAGGAAGTTTCAATTCTGCTAGTTGAATAAATATAACACAAATAAGTTTCTGAGAATTCTTCTGTCTAACATTATATGAAGAAATCCCGTTTCCAACGAAGGCCTGAAAGGTGTCCAAATATCCACTGGCAAACTTTACAAAGAGAGTGTTTCCAAACTGCTCAATCAAAAGAAAGGTTAAACTCTGTGAATTGAACGCTCACATCACAAAGTTGTTTCTGAGAATGATTCTGTCTACTTTTTATACGAAGTTCTTTCCTTTTCTACTTTTGGCCTATAAGCGCTTAAAATCTCCAACTGCAAATATCACAGAAAGAGTGTTTCCCATCTGCTCCATTTAAAAGAAGGTTCAACTCTGTGAGTTGAATACACAGGACACAAAGAAGTTACTGAGAATTCTTTGTCCAGCAGTATATGAAGAAATCCCGTTTCCAACGAAGGCCTCAAAGAGGTCCAATTTTCCACGTGCAGATATTAAAAAGAGAGTGATTCTAAACAGCACTATGAAAAGAAAGGTTAAACTCTGTGAGTTGAACGCTCACATGACAAAGTAGTTTCTCAGAATGATTCTGTCTAGATTTTATACGAAGATACTACCTTTTCTACACTTGGCCTGAAAGCGCTTGAAATCTCCACATGCAAATTCCACAAAAAGAGTGTATCAAATGTGCTCTCTCTAAAGGAAGGTTCAAGTCTGTGAGTGGAATACACACAACACAAAGAAGTTACTGAGAATTATTCTGTCTAGCATTATATGAAGAAATCCCTTTTCTAAGGAAAGTCTCGAAGAGGTCCAAATATCCTCTTGCGGACTATCCAACCAGAGTGTTTCCACACTGCTGCATGAAAAGAAAGGTTAAACTCTGTGAGTTGAACGCACACATCAAAAAGTAGTTTCTGAGAATAATTCTGTCTACTTTTTATACGAAGATACTTCTTTTCCTACAATTGGCCTCAAAGCGATTGAAATTTCCACATGGAAATTCCACAAAAAGAGTGTTTCAAATCTGCTCTGTCTAAAGGCAAGTTCAACTCTGTGAGTTGAATGCACACAACAGAAATAAGTTACTTGAATTCTTCTGTCTAACATTATACGAAGAAATCACGTTTCCAACGAAGGACACAAAGAGGTCCATATATCCACTTGCAGAATTTACAAGGAGAGTGTCTCCAAACTGCTCAATCAAAAGAAAGTTTAAACTCTGTGAATTGAACGCACCCATCACAAAGTAGTTTCTGAGAATGATTCTGTCTACTTTTTATACGAAGATATTTCCTTTTCTACTTTTGGCGTATAAGCGCTCGAAATCTCCAACTGCAAATATCACAAAAAGAGATTTTCACATCTGCTCCTTCTAAAAGAAGGTTCAACTCTGTGAGTTGAATACACAGAACACAAAGAAGTTACTTAGAATTCTTCTGTCTAACATTATATGAAGAAATCCCGTTTCCAACGAAGGCCTCAAAGAACTCCAATTATCCACTTGCAGATATCACAAAGAGAGTGTTTCTAAACAGCTCTATGAAAAGAAAGGTTAAACTCTGTATGTTGAACGCACACATGAAAAAGTAGTTTCTCAGAATGATTCTGTCTAGATTTTATACGAAGATATTTCCTTTTCTACCCTTGGCCAGAAAGAGCTTGAAATCTCCGCATGCAAATTCCACAATAAGAGTGTGTCAAATGTGCTCTCTCTAAAGGAAGGTTCAAGTCTGTGAGTGGAATACACACAACACAAAGAAGTTACTGAGAATTCTTCTGTCTAGCATTATATGAAGAAATCCCTTTTCTAAGGAAAGTCTCAAAGAGGTCCAAATATCTTCTTGCAGACTTTGAAACAGAGTGTTTCCAAACTGCTGCATGAAAAGAAAGGTTAAACTCTGTGAATTGATCGCACACATCACAAAGTAGATTCTCAGAATGATTCTGTATAGTTTTTATACGAAGATATATCCTTTTCTATCTTTGGCCTAAAAGCTCTACAAATCTCCACGTGCAAATATCACAAAAAGAGTATTTCACATCTGCTCTGTCTAAAGGAAGTTTCAACTCTATGAGTTGAATACACACAACACAAGGAAGTTATTAAGATTTATTCTGTCTAGCAGTATATGAAGAAATCCCGTTTCCAAAGAAGGCCTCAAAGAGGTCCAAATATCCTCTTGCAGACTTTACAAACAGAGTGTTTCCAGGCTGCTCTATGAAAAGAAAGGTTAAAATCTGTGAGTTGAATGCACACATCAAAAAGTAGTTTCTGAGAATGATTCTGTCTAGATTTTTTACGAAGATACTTCCTTTTCTACCCTTGGCCTGAAAGCGCTTGAAATCTCCACCTGCAAATTCCACAAAAAGAGTGTATGAAATCTCCTCTCTCAACTGAAAAGTTCAAGTCTGTGAGTGGAATACACACAACACAAAGAATTTACTGAGAATTCTTCTTTCTAGCAGTATATGAAGAAATCCCATTTCCAAAGAAGGCCTCAAAGAGGTCTAAATATCCACTTGCAGACTTTGCAAAGAGTGTTTCCAAACTGCTCTATGAAAAGAAAGGTTAAACTCTGTGATTTGAACGCACACATCACAAAGTAGTTTGTGAGAATGATTCTGTCTAGTTATCACACAAAAATATTTCCTTTTCTACCATTGGCCACAAAGCACGTGAAATCTCCACCTGCAAATTCAACAAAAAGAGTGTTTCACATCTGCTCGGTCTAAAGGTTGGTTCACTTCTGTGAGTTGAATACAGGCAACAGAAAGAAGTTACTGAGAATTCTTCTTTCTAGCATTATATGAAGAAATCCCGTTTCCAACGAAGGCCTCAAAGAGGTCCAAATATCCACTTGCAGACTTTACAAAGAGAGTTTTTCCAAACTGCTCTATGAAAAGAAAGGTTAAACTCTGCGAGTTGAACGCACACATCACAAAGTAGTTTCTGAGAAGGATTCTCTCTTGTTTTTCTATGAATATATGTCCTTTTCTACCACTGGCCTCAAAGCGATTGAAATCTGCACCTGGAAATTCCACAAAAAGAGTGTATCAAATCTGCTCTGTCAAAAGGAAGTTTCAATTCTGCTAGTTGAATAAATATAACACAAATAAGTTTCTGAGAATTCTTCTGTCTAACATTATATGAAGAAATCCCGTTTCCAACGAAGTCCTCAAAGGTGTCCAAATATCCACTGGCAAACTTTACAAACAGAGTGTTTCCAAACTGGTCAATCAAAAGAAAGGTTAAACTCTGTGAATTGAACGCACACATCACAAAGTAGTTTCTGAGAATGATTCTGTCTACTTTTTATACGAAGATATTTCCTTTTCTACATGTGGCCTAAATGTGCTTGAAATCTCCATCTGCAAATATCACAGAAAGAGTGTTTCACATCTGCTCTGTCTAAAGGAATGTTCAACTCTGTGAGTTGAATACACACAACACAAAGAAGTTACGGAGAATTATTCTGTCTGGCATTATATGAAGAAATCCCGTTTCCAACGAAGGACTCAAAGAGGTCCATATATCCACTTGCAGAATTTACAAAGAGAGTGTTTCCAAACTGCTCAATCAAAAGAAAGGTTAAACTCTGTGAATTGAACGCACACATCACAAAGTAGTTTCTGAGAATGATTCTGTCTACTTTTTATACGAAGATATTTCCTTTTCTACTTTTAGCCTGTAAGCGCTTGAAATCTCCAACTGCAAATGTCACAGAAAGAGTGTTTCACATCTGCTCCGCCTAAAAGAAGTTTCAAACCTGTGAATTGAATACACAGGACACAAAGAAGTTACTGAGAATTCTTCTGTCTAGCATTATATGAAGAAATCCCTTTTCTAAGGAAAGTCTCGAAGAGGTCCAAATATCCTCTTGCGGACTATCCAACCAGAGTGTTTCCACACTGCTGCATGAAAAGAAAGGTTAAACTCTGTGAGTTGAACGCACACATCAAAAAGTAGTTTCTGAGAATAATTCTGTCTACTTTTTATACGAAGATACTTCTTTTCCTACCATTGGCCTCAAAGCGATTGAAATTTCCACATGGAAATTCCACAAAAAGAGTGTTTCAAATCTGCTCTGTCTAAAGGGAAGTTCAACTCTGTGAGTTGAATGCACACAACAGAAATAAGTTACTTGAATTCTTCTGTCTAACATTATACGAAGAAATCACGTTTCCAACGAAGGACACAAAGAGGTCCATATATCCACTTGCAGAATTTACAAGGAGAGTGTCTCCAAACTGCTCAATCAAAAGAAAGTTTAAACTCTGTGAATTGAACGCACCCATCACAAAGTAGTTTCTGAGAATGATTCTGTCTACTTTTTATACGAAGATATTTCCTTTTCTACTTTTGGCGTATAAGCGCTCGAAATCTCCAACTGCAAATATCACAAAAAGAGATTTTCACATCTGCTCCTTCTAAAAGAAGGTTCAACTCTGTGAGTTGAATACACAGAACACAAAGAAGTTACTTAGAATTCTTCTGTCTAACATTATATGAAGAAATCCCGTTTCCAACGAAGGCCTCAAAGAACTCCAATTATCCACTTGCAGATATCACAAAGAGAGTGTTTCTAAACAGCTCTATGAAAAGAAAGGTTAAACTCTGTATGTTGAACGCACACATGAAAAAGTAGTTTCTCAGAATGATTCTGTCTAGATTTTATACGAAGATATTTCCTTTTCTACCCTTGGCCAGAAAGAGCTTGAAATCTCCGCATGCAAATTCCACAATAAGAGTGTGTCAAATGTGCTCTCTCTAAAGGAAGGTTCAAGTCTGTGAGTGGAATACACACAACACAAAGAAGTTACTGAGAATTCTTCTGTCTAGCATTATATGAAGAAATCCCTTTTCTAAGGAAAGTCTCAAAGAGGTCCAAATATCTTCTTGCAGACTTTGAAACAGAGTGTTTCCAAACTGCTGCATGAAAAGAAAGGTTAAACTCTGTGAATTGATCGCACACATCACAAAGTAGATTCTCAGAATGATTCTGTATAGTTTTTATACGAAGATATATCCTTTTCTATCTTTGGCCTAAAAGCTCTACAAATCTCCACGTGCAAATATCACAAAAAGAGTATTTCACATCTGCTCTGTCTAAAGGAAGTTTCAACTCTATGAGTTGAATACACACAACACAAGGAAGTTATTAAGATTTATTCTGTCTAGCAGTATATGAAGAAATCCCGTTTCCAAAGAAGGCCTCAAAGAGGTCCAAATATCCTCTTGCAGACTTTACAAACAGAGTGTTTCCAGGCTGCTCTATGAAAAGAAAGGTTAAAATCTGTGAGTTGAATGCACACATCAAAAAGTAGTTTCTGAGAATGATTCTGTCTAGATTTTTTACGAAGATAGTTCCTTTTCTACCCTTGACCTGAAAGCGCTTGAAATCTTCACCTGCAAATTCCACAAAAAGAGTGTATGAAATCTCCTCTCTCAACTGAAAAGTTCAAGTCTGTGAGTGGAATACACACAACACAAAGAATTTACTGAGAATTCTTCTGTATAGCGTTATATGAAGAAATCCCATTTAAAAAGAAGACCTCCAAGAGGTCCAAATATCCACTTGCACATTTAGAAACAGAGTGTTTCCAAACTGGTCTATGAAAAGAAAGGTTACACTCTGTGAGTTGAACGCACACATCACAAAGTAGTTTCTGAAAATGATTCTGTCTAGTTATCACACAAAAATATTTCCTTTTCTACCATTGGCCACAAAGCACGTGAAATCTCCACCTGCAAATTCAACAAAAAGAGTGTTTCACATCTGCTCGGTCTAAAGGTTGGTTCACTTCTGTGAGTTGAATACAGGCAACAGAAAGAAGTTACTGAGAATTCTTCTTTCTAGCATTATATGAAGAAATCCCGTTTCCAAAGAAGGCCTCAAAGAGGTATAAATATCCACTTGCAGACTTTACAAAGAGAGTTTTTCCAAACTGCTCTATGAAAAGAAAGGTTAAACTCTGCGAGTTGAACGCACACATCACAAAGTAGTTTCTGAGAATGATTTTGTCTTGTTTTTATATGAAGATATTACCTTTTCTACCATTGGCCTCGAGGCGATTGAAATCTCCACCTGGGAAATCCACAAAAAGAATGTTTCAAATCTGCTTTATGTAAAGGAAGGTTCAACACTGTGAGTTGAAAGCACACAACACATATAAGGTACTGAGAATTCTTCTGTCTAACATGCAATGAAGAAATACCTTTTCCAACGAAGGCCAAAAAGAGGTCCATATATCCACTTGCAGAATTTACAAAGAGAGTGTTTCCAAACTGCACAATCAAAGGAAAGGTTAAACTCTGTGAATTGAATTCACACATCACAAAGTAGATTCTCAGAATGATTCTGTATAGTTTTTATACAAAGGTATTTCCTTTTCTATTTTTGGCCTGAAAGCGCTAGAAATCTCCACGTGCAAATATCACAAAAAAGAGTATTGCACATCTGCTCTCTCTAAAGGAAGTTTCAACTCTATGAGTTGAATACACACAACAGAAGGAAGTTATTAAGATTTATTCTGTCTAACATTATATGAAGAAATCCCGTTTCCAACGAAGGCCTCAAAGAGGTCCAAATATCCTCTTGAAGACTTTACAAACAGAGTGTTTCCAGGCTGCTCTATGAAAAGAAAGGTTAAAATCTGTGAGTTGAACGCACACATCAAAAAGTAGTTTCTGAGAATGATTCTGTCTAGATTTTTTACGAAGATAGTTCCTTTTCTACCCTTGACCTGAAAGCGCTTGAAATCTTCACCTGCAAATTCCACAAAAAGAGTGTATGAAATCTCCTCTCTCAACTGAAAAGTTCAAGTCTGTGAGTGGAATACACACAACACAAAGAATTTACTGAGAATTCTTCTTTCTAGCAGTATATGAAGAAATCCCGTTTCCAAAGAAGGCCTCAAAGAGGTCTAAATATCCACTTGCAGACTTTGCAAACAGAGTGTTTCCAAACTGCTCTATGAAAAGAAAGGTTAAACTCTGTGATTTGAACGCACACATCACAAAGTAGTTTGTGAGAATGATTCTGTCTAGTTATCACACAAAAATATTTCCTTTTCTACCATTGGCCACAAAGCACGTGAAATCTCCACCTGCAAATTCAACAAAAAGAGTGTTTCACATCTGCTCGGTCTAAAGGTTGGTTCACTTCTGTGAGTTGAATACAGGCAACAGAAAGAAGTTACTGAGAATTCTTCTTTCTAGCATTATATGAAGAAATCCCGTTTCCAAAGAAGGCCTCAAAGAGGTATAAATATCCACTTGCAGACTTTACAAAGAGAGTTTTTCCAAACTGCTCTATGAAAAGAAAGGTTAAACTCTGCGAGTTGAACGCACACATCACAAAGTAGTTTCTGAGAATGATTCTCTCTTGTTTTTCTACGAATATATGTCCTTTTCTACCATTGGCCTCAAAGCGATTGAAATCTGCACCTGGAAATTCCACAAAAAGAGTGTATCAAATCTGCTCTGTCAAAAGGAAGTTTCAATCCTGCTAGTTGAATAAATATAACACAAATAAGTTTCTGAGAATTCTTCTGTCTAACATTATATGAAGAAATCCCGTTTTCAACGAAGGCCTCAAAGGTGGCCAAATATCCACTGGCAGACTTTACAAAGAGAGTGTTTCCAAAATGCTCAATCAAAAGAAAGGTTAAACTCTGTGAATTGAACGCACACATCACAAATTAGTTTCTGAGAATGATTCTGTCTACTTTTTATACGAAGATATTTCCTTTTCTACTTTTGGCCTATAAGCGCTTGAAATCTCCAACTTCAAATATCACAGAAAGAGTGTTTCACATCTGCTCCATTGAAAAGAAGGTTCAACTCTGTGAGTTGAATACACAGGACACAAAGAAGTTACTGAGAATTCTTTGTCCAGCAGTATATGAAGAAATCCCGTTTCCAACGAAGGCCTCAAAGAGGTCCAATTTTCCACGTGCAGATATTAAAAAGAGAGTGATTCTAAACAGCACTATGAAAAGAAATGTTAAACTCTGTGAGTTGAACGCTCACATGACAAAGTAGTTTCTCAGAATGATTCTGTCTAGATTTTATACGAAGATACTACGTTTTCTACCCTTGGCCTGAAAGCGCTTGAAATCTCCACATGCAAATTCCACAAAAAGAGTGTATCAAATGTGCTCTGTCTAAAGGAAGGTTCAAGTCTGTGAGTGGAATACACACAACACAAAGAAGTTACTGAGAATTCTTCTGTCTAGCATTATATGAAGAAATCCCTTTTCTAAGGAAAGTCTCAAAGAGGTCCAAATATCCTCTTGCGGACTATCCAACGAGAGTGTTTCCACACTGCTGCATGAAAAGAAAGGTTAAACTCTGTGAGTTGAATGCACACATCAAAAAGTAGTTTCTGAGAATGATTCTGTCTACTTTTTATACGAAGATATTTCTTTTTCTACCATTGGCCTCAAAGAGATTGAAATTTCCACATGGAAATTCCACAAAAAGAGTGTTTCAAATCTGCTCTGTCTAAAGGAAAGTTCAACTCTGTGAGTTGAATGCACACAACAGAAATAAGTTACTGAGAATTCTTCTGTCTGGCATTATATGAAGAAATCCCGTTTCCAACGAAGGACTCAAAGAGGTCCATATATCCACTTGCAGAATTTACAAAGAGAGTGTTTCCAAACTGCTCAATCAAAAGAAAGGTTAAACTCTGTGAATTGAACGCACACATCACAAAGTAGTTTCTGAGAATGTTTCTGTCTATATTTTATACGAAGATATTTCCTTTTCTACTTTTGGCGTATAAGCGCTCGAAATCTCCAACTGCAAATATCACAAAAAGAGATTTTCACATCTGCTCCTTCTAAAAGAAGGTTCAACTCTGTGAGTTGAATACACAGAACACAAAGAAGTTACTGAGAATTCTTCTGTCTAACATTATATGAAGAAATCCCGTTTCCAACGAAGGCCTCAAAGAACTCCAATTATCCACTTGCAGATATCACAAAGAGAGTGTTTCTAAACAGCTCTATGAAAAGAAAGGTTAAACTCTGTATGTTGAACGCACACATGAAAAAGTAGTTTCTCAGAATGATTCTGTCTAGATTTTATACGAAGATATTTCCTTTTCTACCCTTGGCCAGAAAGAGCTTGAAATCTCCGCATGCAAATTCCACAATAAGAGTGTGTCAAATGTGCTCTCTCTAAAGGAAGGTTCAAGTCTGTGAGTGGAATACACACAACACAAAGAAGTTACTGAGAATTCTTCTGTCTAGCATTATATGAAGAAATCCCTTTTCTAAGGAAAGTCTCAAAGAGGTCCAAATATCTTCTTGCAGACTTTGAAACAGAGTGTTTCCAAACTGCTGCATGAAAAGAAAGGTTAAACTCTGTGAATTGATCGCACACATCACAAAGTAGATTCTCAGAATGATTCTGTATAGTTTTTATACGAAGATATATCCTTTTCTATCTTTGGCCTAAAAGCTCTACAAATCTCCACGTGCAAATATCACAAAAAGAGTATTTCACATCTGCTCTGTCTAAAGGAAGTTTCAACTCTATGAGTTGAATACACACAACACAAGGAAGTTATTAAGATTTATTCTGTCTAGCAGTATATGAAGAAATCCCGTTTCCAAAGAAGGGCTCAAAGAGGTCCAAATATCCTCTTGGAGACTTTACAAACAGAGTGTTTCCAGGCTGCTCTATGAAAAGAAAGGTTAAAATCTGTGAGTTGAACGCACACATCAAAAAGTAGTTACTGAGAATGATTCTGTCAAGATTTTATACGAAGATACTTCCTTTTCTACCCTTGGCCTCAAAGCGCTTGAAATTTCCACCTGCAAATTCCACAAAATGAGTGTATCAAATCTCCTCTCTCTAAAGGAAGGTTTAAGTCTGTGAGTGGAATACACACAACACAAAGCAGTTACTGAGAATTCTTCTTTCTAGCAGTATATGAAGAAATCCCGTTTCCAAAGAAGGCCTCAAAGAGGTCTAAATATCCACTTGCAGACTTTGCAAACAGAGTGTTTCCAAACTGCTCAATCAAAAGAAAGGTTAAACTCTGTGAATTGAACGCACACATCACAAAGTAGTTTCTGAGAATGATTCTGTCTAGTTATTATACAAAAAATATTTCCTTTTCTACCATTGGCCACAAACAACGTGAAATCTCCACCTGTAAATTCAACAAAAAGAGTGTTTCACATCTGCTCGGTCTAAAGGTTGGTTCACTTCTGTGAGTTGAATACAGGCACCACAAAGAAGTTACTGAGAATTCTTCTTTCTAGCATTATATGAAGAAATCCCGTTTCCAAAGAAGACCTCAAAGAGGTATAAATATCCACTTTCAGACTTTACAAAGAGAGTTTCTCCAAACTGCTCTATGAAAGGAAAGGTTAAACTCTGCGAGTTGAACGCACACATCACAAAGTAGTTTCTGAGAATGATTCTCTCTTGTTTTTCTACGAATATATGTCCTTTTCTACCATTGGCCTCAAAGCGATTGAAATCTGCACCTGGAAATTCCACAAAAAGAGTGTATCAAATCTGCTCTGTCAAAAGGAAGTTTCAATTCTGCTAGTTGAATAAATATAACACAAATAAGTTTCTGAGAATTCTTCTGTCTAACATAATATGAAGAAATCCCGTTTCCAATGAAGGCCTCAAAGGTGTCCAAATATCCACTGGCAAACTTTACAAACAGAGTGTTTCCAAACTGCTCAATCAAAAGAAAGGTTAAACTCTGTGAATTGAACGCACACATCACAAAGTAGTTTCTGAAAATTATTCTGTCTAGTTTTTATACGAAGATATTTCCTTTTCTACATGTGGCCTAAATGTGCTTGAAATCTCCATCTGCAAATATCACAGAAAGAGTGTTTCACATCTGCTCTGTCTAAAGGAATGTTCAACTCTGTGAGTTGAATACACACAACACAAAGAAGTTACGGAGAATTATTCTGTCTAGCATTATATGAAGAAATCCCGTTTCCAACGAGGCACTCAAAGAGGTCCATATATCCACTGGCAGACTTTACAAAGAGAGTGTTTCCAAACTGCTCAATCAAAAGAAAGGTTAAACTCTGTGAATTGAACACACACATCACAAAGTAGTTTCTGAGAATGATTCTGTCTACTTTTTATACGAAGATATTTCCTTTCCTACTTTTGGCCTATAAGCGCTTGAAATCTCCAACTGCAAATGTCACAGAAAGAGTGTTTCACATCTGCTCCGCCTAAAAGAAGTTTCAAACCTGTGAATTGAATACACAGGACACAAAGAAGTTACTGAGAATTCTTTCTCCAACATTATATGAAGAAATCCCGTTTCCAACGAAGGCCTCAAAGAGGTCCAATTTTCCACGTGCAGATATTAAAAAGAGAGTGTTTCTAAACAGCACTATGAAAAGAAAGGTTAAACTCTGTGAGTTGAATGCACACGTCACAAAGTAGTTTCTCAGAATGATCCTGTCTAGATTTTATACGAAGATACTACCTTTTCTACCCTTGGCCTGAAAGCGCTTGAAATCTCCTCGTGCAATTTCCACAAAAAGAGTGTATCAAATGTGCTCTCTCTAAAGGAAGGTTCAAGTCTGTGAGTGGAATACACACAACACAAAGAAGTTACTGAGAATTCTTCTGTCTAGCATTATATGAAGAAATCCCTTTTCTAAGGAAAGTCTCAAAGAGGTCCAAATATCCTCTTGCGGACTATCCAACCAGAGTGTTTCCACACTGCTGCATGAAAAGAAAGGTTAAACTCTGTGAGTTGAACGCACACATCACAAAGTAGTTTCTGAGAATGATTCTGTCTAATTTTTATACGAAGATATTTCTTTTTCTACCATTGGCCTCAAAGCGATTGAAATTTCCACATGGAAATTCCACAAAAAGAGTGTTTCAAATCTGCTCTGTCTAAAGGAAAGTTCAACTCTGTGAGTTGAATGCACACAACAGAAATAAGTTACTGAGAATTCTTCTGTCTAACATTATACGAAGAAATCACGTTTCCAACGAAGGACACAAAGAGGTCCATATATCCACTTGCAGAATTTACAAGGAGAGTGTCTCCAAACTGCTCAATCAAAAGAAAGTTTAAACTCTGTGAATTGAACGCACCCATCACAAAGTAGTTTCTGAGAATGATTCTGTCTACTTTTTATACGAAGATATTTCCTTTTCTACTTTTGGCGTATAAGCGCTCGAAATCTCCAACTGCAAATATCACAAAAAGAGATTTTCACATCTGCTCCTTCTAAAAGAAGGTTCAACTCTGTGAGTTGAATACACAGAACACAAAGAAGTTACTTAGAATTCTTCTGTCTAACATTATATGAAGAAATCCCGTTTCCAACGAAGGCCTCAAAGAACTCCAATTATCCACTTGCAGATATCACAAAGAGAGTGTTTCTAAACAGCTCTATGAAAAGAAAGGTTAAACTCTGTATGTTGAACGCACACATGAAAAAGTAGTTTCTCAGAATGATTCTGTCTAGATTTTATACGAAGATATTTCCTTTTCTACCCTTGGCCAGAAAGAGCTTGAAATCTCCGCATGCAAATTCCACAATAAGAGTGTGTCAAATGTGCTCTCTCTAAAGGAAGGTTCAAGTCTGTGAGTGGAATACACACAACACAAAGAAGTTACTGAGAATTCTTCTGTCTAGCATTATATGAAGAAATCCCTTTTCTAAGGAAAGTCTCAAAGAGGTCCAAATATCTTCTTGCAGACTTTGAAACAGAGTGTTTCCAAACTGCTGCATGAAAAGAAAGGTTAAACTCTGTGAATTGATTGCACACATCACAAAGTAGATTCTCAGAATGATTCTGTCTAGTTTTTATACGAAGATACATCCTTTTCTATCTTTGGCATAGAAGAGCTTCAAATCTCCACTTGCAAATATCACAAAAAGAGTGTCTCACTTATGCTCTGTCTAAAGGAAGGTTCAAATCTGTGAGTTGAATACAAACAACACAAGGAAGTTACTGAGAATTCTTCTGTCTAACATTATATGAAGAAATCCCGTTTCCAACGAAGGCCTCAAAGGTGTCCAAATATCCACTGGCAAACTTTACAAAGAGAGTGTTTCCAAACTGCTCAATCAAAAGAAAGGTTAAACTCTGTGAATTGAACGCACACATCACAAAGTAGTTTCTGAGAATGATTCTGTCTAGTTTTTATATGAAGATATTTCCTCTTCTACATGTGGCCTAAATGCGCTTGAAATCTCCATCTGCAAATATCACAGAAAGAGTGTTTCACATCTGCTCTGTCTAAAGGAATGTTCAACTCTGTGAGTTGAATACACACAACACAAAGAAGTTACAGAGAATTATTCTGTCTAGCATTATATGAAGAAATCCCGTTTCCAACGAAGGACTCAAAGAGGTCCATATATCTACTGGCAGAATTTACAAAGAGAGTGTTTCCAAACTGCTCAATCAAAAGAAAGGTTAAACTCTGTGAATTGAACGCACACATCACAAAGTAGTTTCTGAGAATGATTCTGTCTACTTTTTATACGAAGATATTTCCTTTTCTACTTTTGGCCTATAAGCGCTTGAAATCTCCAACTGTAAATATCACAGAAAGAGTGTTTCACATCTGCTCCGCCTAAAAGAAGGTTCAAATCTGTGAGTTGAATACACAGGACACAAAGAAGTTACTGAGAATTCTTTGTCCAGCAGCGTATGAAGAAATCCCATTTCCAACGAAGGCCTCAAAGAGGTCCAATTTTCCACGTGCAGATATTAAAAAGAGAGTGATTCTAAACAGCACTATGAAAAGAAAGGTTAAACTCTGTGAGTTGAACGCTCCCATGACAAAGTAGTTTCTCAGAATGATTCTGTCTAGATTTTATACGAAGATACTACCTTTTCTACACTTGGCCTGAAAGCTCTTGAAATCTCCACATGCAAATTCCACAAAAAGAGTGTATCAAATGTGCTCTCTCTAAAGGAAGGTTCAAGTCTGTGAGTGGAATACACACAACACAAAGAAGTTACTGAGAATTCTTCTGTCTAGCATTATATGAAGAAATCCCTTTTCTAAGGAAAGTCTCAAAGAGGTCCAAATATCCTCTTGCGGACTATCCAACCAGAGTGTTTCCACACTGCTGCATGAAAAGAAAGGTTAAACTCTGTGAGTTGAACGCACACATCACAAAGTAGTTTCTGAGAATGATTCTCTCTTGTTTTTCTACGAATATATGTCCTTTTCTACCACTGGCCTCAAAGCGATTGAAATCTGCACCTGGAAATTCCACAAAAAGAGTGTATCAAATCTGCTCTGTCAAAAGGAAGTTTCAATTCTGCTAGTTGAATAAACATAACACAAATAAGTTTCTGAGAATTCTTCTGTCTAACATTATATGAAGAAATCCCGTTTCCAACGAAGGCCTGAAAGGTGTCCAAATATCCACTGGCAAACTTTACAAAGAGAGTGTTTCCAAACTGCTCAATCAAAAGAAAGGTTAAACTCTGTGAATTGAACGCTCACATCACAAAGTAGTTTCTGAGAATGATTCTGTCTACTTTTTATACGAAGATATTTCCTTTTCTACTTTTGGCCTGTAAGCGCTTGAAATCTCCAACTGCAAATGTCACAGAAAGAGTGTTTCACATCTGCTCCGCCTAAAAGAAGTTTCAAACCTGTGAATTGAATACACAGGACACAAAGAAGTTACTGAGAATTCTTTGTCCAGCAGTATATGAAGAAATCCCGTTTCCAACGAAGGCCTCAAAGAGGTCCAATTTTCCACGTGCAGATATTAAAAAGAGAGTGATTCTAAACAGCACTATGAAAAGAAATGTTAAACTCTGTGAGTTGAACGCTCACATGACAAAGTAGTTTCTCAGAATGATTCTGTCTAGATTTTATACGAAGATACTACCTTTTCTACCCTTGGCCTGAAAGCTCTTGAAATCTCCACATGCAAATTCCACAAAAAGAGTGTATCAAATGTGCTCTCTCTAAAGGAAGGTTCAAGTCTGTGAGTGGAATACACACAACACAAAGAAGTTACTGAGAATTATTCTGTCTAGCATTATATGAAGAAATCCCTTTTCTAAGGAAAGTCTCAAAGAGGTCCAAATATCCTCTTGCGGACTATCCAACCAGAGTGTTTCCACACTGCTGCATGAAAAGAAAGGTTAAACTCTGTGAGTTGAACGCACACATCAAAAAGTAGTTTCTGAGAATGATTCTGTCTACTTTTTATACGAAGATATTTCTTTTTCTACCATTGGCCTCAAAGAGATTGAAATTTCCACATGGAAATTCCACAAAAAGAGTGTTTCAAATCTGCTCTGTCTAAAGGAAAGTTCAACTCTGTGAGTTGAATGCACACAACAGAAATAAGTTACTGAGAATTCTTCTGTCTAACATTATACGAAGAAATCACGTTTCCAACGAAGGACAAAAGAGGTCCATATATCCACTTGCAGAATTTACAAGGAGAGTGTCTCCAAACTGCTCAATCAAAAGAAAGTTTAAACTCTGTGAATTGAACGCACCCATCACAAAGTAGTTTCTGAGAATGATTCTGTCTACTTTTTATACGAAGATATTTCCTTTTCTACTTTTGGCGTATAAGCGCTCGAAATCTCCAACTGCAAATATCACAAAAAGAGATTTTCACATCTGCTCCTTCTAAAAGAAGGTTCAACTCTGTGAGTTGAATACACAGAACACAAAGAAGTTACTTAGAATTCTTCTGTCTAACATTATATGAAGAAATCCCGTTTCCAACGAAGGCCTCAAAGAACTCCAATTATCCACTTGCAGATATCACAAAGAGAGTGTTTCTAAACAGCTCTATGAAAAGAAAGGTTAAACTCTGTATGTTGAACGCACACATGAAAAAGTAGTTTCTCAGAATGATTCTGTCTAGATTTTATACGAAGATATTTCCTTTTCTACCCTTGGCCAGAAAGAGCTTGAAATCTCCGCATGCAAATTCCACAATAAGAGTGTGTCAAATGTGCTCTCTCTAAAGGAAGGTTCAAGTCTGTGAGTGGAATACACACAACACAAAGAAGTTACTGAGAATTCTTCTGTCTAGCATTATATGAAGAAATCCCTTTTCTAAGGAAAGTCTCAAAGAGGTCCAAATATCTTCTTGCAGACTTTGAAACAGAGTGTTTCCAAACTGCTGCATGAAAAGAAAGGTTAAACTCTGTGAATTGATCGCACACATCACAAAGTAGATTCTCAGAATGATTCTGTATAGTTTTTATACGAAGATATATCCTTTTCTATCTTTGGCCTAAAAGCTCTACAAATCTCCACGTGCAAATATCACAAAAAGAGTATTTCACATCTGCTCTGTCTAAAGGAAGTTTCAACTCTATGAGTTGAATACACACAACACAAGGGAAGTTATTAAGATTTATTCTGTCTAGCAGTATATGAAGAAATCCTGTTTCCAAAGAAGGCCTCAAAGAGGTCCAAATATCCTCTTGCAGACTTTACAAACAGAGTGT
This sequence comes from Homo sapiens, assembly GCF_000001405.40. NCBI lineage: Eukaryota > Metazoa > Chordata > Mammalia > Primates > Hominidae > Homo > Homo sapiens. Next base: position 34,798,856 of record NC_000012.12, on the reverse strand, counting down.
TTCCAGGCTGCTCTATGAAAAGAAAGGTTAAAATCTGTGAGTTGAACGCACACATCAAAAAGTAGTTTCTGAGAATGATTCTGTCAAGATTTTATACGAAGATACTTCCTTTTCTACCCTTGGCCTCAAAGCGCTTGAAATTTCCACCTGCAAATTCCACAAAATGAGTGTATCAAATCTCCTCTCTCTAAAGGAAGGTTTAAGTCTGTGAGTGGAATACACACAACACAAAGCAGTTACTGAGAATTCTTCTTTCTAGCAGTATATGAAGAAATCCCGTTTCCAAAGAAGGCCTCAAAGAGGTCTAAATATCCACTTGCAGACTTTGCAAACAGAGTGTTTCCAAACTGCTCTATGAAAAGAAAGGTTAAACTCTGTGATTTGAATGCACACATCACAAAGTAGTTTGTGAGAATGAT
>NC_000012.12:34769407-34798337 GCF_000001405.40 Homo sapiens | reverse complement strand
TGGCACACTGTCACATCTGCTGCATTCTATTGGCCAAAGTAAGGCCCAAGGCCAGCAGGATCACTTTGCAAAAGGCATATATACAGGGAAGAGTGAAGTGTTGTGGCCCATTGTTTGCAATGTTCCATGTTTATACCCAACACAACAAAAAGAGTGTTTCACATCTGCTCGGTCTAAAGGTTGGTTCACTTCTGTGAGTTGAATACAGGCACCAAAAAGAAGTTACTGAGAATTCTTCTTTCTAGCATTATATGAAGAAATCCCGTTTCCAAAGAAGGCCTCAAAGAGGTATAAATATCCACTTGCAGACTTTACAAAGAGAGTTTTTCCAAACTGCTCTATGAAAAGAAAGGTTAAACTCGGCGAGTTGAACGCACACATCACAAAGTAGTTTCTGAGAATGATTCTCTCTTGTTTTTCTACGAATATATGTCCTTTTCTACCATTGGCCTCAAAGCGATTGAAATCTGCACCTGGAAATTCCACAAAAAGAGTGTATCAAATCTGCTCTGTCAAAAGGAAGTTTCAATTCTGCTAGTTGAATAAATATAACACAAATAAGTTTCTGAGAATTCTTCTGTCTAACATTATATGAAGAAATCCCGTTTCCAACGAAGGCCTCAAAGGTGTCCAAATATCCACTGGCAAACTTTACAAAGAGAGTGTTTCCAAACTGCTCAATCAAAAGAAAGGTTAAACTCTGTGAATTGAACGCACACATCACAAAGTAGTTTCTGAGAATGATTCTGTCTACTTTTTCTACGAAGATATTTCCTTTTCTACTTTTGGCCTATAAGTGCTTGAAATCTCCAACTGCAAATATCACAGAAAGAGTGTTTCACATCTGCTCCGCCTAAAAGAAGGTTCAAATCTGTAAGTTGAATACACAGGACACAATGAAGTTACTGAGAATTCTTTGTCCAGCAGTATATGAAGAAATCCCGTTTCCAACGAAGGCCTCAAAGAGGTCCAATTTTCCACGTGCAGATATTAGAAAGAGAGTGATTCTAAACAGCACTATGAAAGAAAAGGTTAAACTGTGTGAGTTGAATGCTCCCATGACAAAGTAGTTTCTCAGAATGATCCTGTCTAGATTTTATACGAAGATACTACCTTTTCTACCCTTGGCCTGAAAGCGCTTGAAATCTCCTCATGCAATTTCCACAAAAAGAGTGTATCAAATGTGCTCTCTCTAAAGGAAGGTTCAAGTCTGTGAGTGGAATACACACAACACAAAGAAGTTACTGAGAATTCTTCTGTCTAGCATTATATGAAGAAATCCCTTTTCTAAGGAAAGTCTCAAAGAGGTCCAAATATCCTCTTGCGGACTATCCAACCAGAGTGTTTCCACACTGCTGCATGAAAAGAAAGGTTAAACTCTGTGAGTTGAACGCACACATCAAAAAGTAGTTTCTGAGAATGATTCTGTCTACTTTTTATACGAAGATACTTCTTTTCCTACCATTGGCCTCAAAGCGATTGAAATTTCCACATGGAAATTCCACAAAAAGAGTGTTTCAAATCTGCTCTGTCTAAAGGGAAGTTCAACTCTGTGAGTTGAATGCACACAACAGAAATAAGTTACTTGAATTCTTCTGTCTGGCATTATATGAAGAAATCCCGTTTCCAACGAAGGACTCAAAGAGGTCCATATATCCACTTGCAGAATTTACAAAGAGAGTATTTCCAAACTGCTCAATCAAAAGAAAGGTTAAACTCTGTGAATTGAACGCACACATCACAAAGTAGTTTCTGAGAATGATTCTGTCTACTTTTTATACGAAGATATTTCCTTTTCTACTTTTGGCCTATAAGCGCTTGAAATCTCCAACTGCAAATGTCACAGAAAGAGTGTTTCACATCTGCTCCGCCTAAAAGAAGTTTCAAACCTGTGAATTGAATACACAGGACACAAAGAAGTTACTGAGAATTCTTTCTCCAACATTATATGAAGAAATCCCGTTTCCAACGAAGGCCTCTAAGAGGTCCAATTTTCCACGTGCAGATATTAAAAAGAGAGTGTTTCTAAACAGCACTATGAAAAGAAAGGTTAAACTCTGTGAGTTGAATGCACACGTCACAAAGTAGTTTCTCAGAATGATTCTGTCTAGATTTTATACGAAGATACTACCTTTTCTACACTTGGCCTGAAAGCGCTTGAAATCTCCACATGCAAATTCCACAAAAAGAGTGTATCAAATGTGCTCTCTCTAAAGGAAGGTTCAAGTCTGTGAGTGGAATACACACAACACAAAGAAGTTACTGAGAATTCTTCTGTCTAGCATTATATGAAGAAGTCCCTTTTCTAAGGAAAGTCTCGAAGAGGTCCAAATATCCTCTTGTGGACTATCCAACCAGAGTGTTTCCACACTGCTGCATGAAAAGAAAGGTTAAACTCTGTGAGTTGAACGCACACTTCACAAAGTCGTTTCTGAGAATGATTCTGTCTACTTTTTATACGAAGATACTTCTTTTCCTACCATTGGCCTCAAAGCGATTGAAATTTCCACATGGAAATTCCACAAAAAGAGTGTTTCAAATCTGCTCTGTCTAAAGGGAAGTTCAACTCTGTGAGTTGAATGCACACAACAGAAATAAGTTACTTGAATTCTTCTGTCTAACATTATACGAAGAAATCACGTTTCCAACGAAGGACACAAAGAGGTCCATATATCCACTTGCAGAATTTACAAGGAGAGTGTCTCCAAACTGCTCAATCAAAAGAAAGTTTAAACTCTGTGAATTGAACGCACCCATCACAAAGTAGTTTCTGAGAATGATTCTGTCTACTTTTTATACGAAGATATTTCCTTTTCTACTTTTGGCGTATAAGTGCTCGAAATCTCCAACTGCAAATATCACAGAAAGAGATTTTCACATCTGCTCCTTCTAAAAGAAGGTTCAACTCTGTGAGTTGAATACACAGAACACAAAGAAGTTACTGAGAATTCTTCTGTCTAACATTATATGAAGAAATCCCGTTTCCAACGAAGGCCTCAAAGAGGTCCAAATATCCTCTTGCAGACTTTACAAACAGAGTGTTTCCAGGCTGCTCTATGAAAAGAAAGGTTAAAATCTGTGAGTTGAACGCACACATCAAAAAGTAGTTTCTGAGAATGATTCTGTCTAGATTTTATACGAAGATATTTCCTTTTCTACCCTTGGCCAGAAAGAGCTTGAAATCTCCGCATGCAAATTCCACAATAAGAGTGTGTCAAATGTGCTCTCTCTAAAGGAAGGTTCAAGTCTGTGAGTGGAATACACACAACACAAAGAAGTTACTGAGAATTCTTCTGTCTAGCATTATATGAAGAAATCCCTTTTCTAAGGAAAGTCTCAAAGAGGTCCAAATATCTTCTTGCAGACTTTGAAACAGAGTGTTTCCAAACTGCTGCATGAAAAGAAAGGTTAAACTCTGTGAATTGATCGCACACATCACAAAGTAGATTCTCAGAATGATTCTGTATAGTTTTTATACGAAGATATATCCTTTTCTATCTTTGGCCTAAAAGCTCTACAAATCTCCACGTGCAAATATCACAAAAAGAGTATTTCACATCTGCTCTGTCTAAAGGAAGTTTCAACTCTATGAGTTGAATACACACAACACAAGGAAGTTATAAAGATTTATTCTGTCTAGCAGTATATGAAGAAATCCTGTTTCCAAAGAAGGCCTCAAAGAGGTCCAAATATCCTCTTGCAGACTTTACAAACAGAGTGTTTCCAGGCTGCTCTATGAAAAGAAAGGTTAAAATCTGTGAGTTGAATGCACACATCAAAAAGTAGTTTCTGAGAATGATTCTGTCTAGATTTTATACGAAGATACTTCCTTTTCTACCCTTGGCCTCAAAGCGCTTGAAATTTCCACCTGCAAATTCCACAAAATGAGTGTATCAAATCTCCTCTCTCTAAAGGAAGGTTTAAGTCTGTGAGTGGAATACACACAACACAAAGCAGTTACTGAGAATTCTTCTTTCTAGCAGTATATGAAGAAATCCCGTTTCCAAAGAAGGCCTCAAAGAGGTCTAAATATCCACTTGCAGACTTTGCAAACAGAGTGTTTCCAAACTGCTCTATGAAAAGAAAGGTTAAACTCTGTGATTTGAACGCACACATCACAAAGTAGTTTGTGAGAATGATTCTGTCTAGTTATCACACAAAAATATTTCCTTTTCTACCATTGGCCACAAAGCACGTGAAATCTCCACCTGCAAATTCAACAAAAAGAGTGTTTCACATCTGCTCGGTCTAAAGGTTGGTTCACTTCTGTGAGTTGAATACAGGCAACAGAAAGAAGTTACTGAGAATTCTTCTTTCTAGCATTATATGAAGAAATCCCGTTTCCAAAGAAGACCTCAAAGAGGTATAAATATCCACTTTCAGACTTTACAAAGAGAGTTTTTCCAAACTGCTCTATGAAAGGAAAGGTTAAACTCTGCGAGTTGAACGCACACATCACAAAGTAGTTTCTGAGAATGATTCTCTCTTGTTTTTCTACGAATATATGTCCTTTTCTACCATTGGCCTCAAAGCGATTGAAATCTGCACCTGGAAATTCCACAAAAAGAGTGTATCAAATCTGCTCTGTCAAAAGGAAGTTTCAATTCTGCTAGTTGAATAAATATAACACAAATAAGTTTCTGAGAATTCTTCTGTCTAACATTATATGAAGAAATCCCGTTTCCAACGAAGGCCTCAAAGGTGTCCAAATATCCACTGGCAAACTTTACAAAGAGAGTGTTTCCAAACTGCTCAATCAAAAGAAAGGTTAAACTCTGTGAATTGAACGCTCACATCACAAAGTAGTTTCTGAGAATGATTCTGTCTACTTTTTATACGAAGTTATTTCCTTTTCTACTTTTGGCCTATAAGCGCTTAAAATCTCCAACTGCAAATATCACAGAAAGAGTGTTTCCCATCTGCTCCATTTAAAAGAAGGTTCAACTCTGTGAGTTGAATACACAGGACACAAAGAAGTTACTGAGAATTCTTTGTCCAGCAGTATATGAAGAAATCCCGTTTCCAACGAAGGCCTCAAAGAGGTCCAATTTTCCACGTGCAGATATTAAAAAGAGAGTGATTCTAAACAGCACTATGAAAAGAAAGGTTAAACTCTGTGAGTTGAACGCTCACATGACAAAGTAGTTTCTCAGAATGATTCTGTCTAGATTTTATACGAAGATACTACCTTTTCTACCCTTGGCCTGAAAGCGCTTGAAATCTCCACATGCAAATTCCACAAAAAGAGTGTATCAAATGTGCTCTCTCTAAAGGAAGGTTCAAGTCTGTGAGTGGAATACACACAACACAAAGAAGTTACTGAGAATTATTCTGTCTAGCATTATATGAAGAAATCCCTTTTCTAAGGAAAGTCTCGAAGAGGTCCAAATATCCTCTTGCGGACTATCCAACCAGAGTGTTTCCACACTGCTGCATGAAAAGAAAGGTTAAACTCTGTGAGTTGAACGCACACATCAAAAAGTAGTTTCTGAGAATAATTCTGTCTACTTTTTATACGAAGATACTTCTTTTCCTACCATTGGCCTCAAAGCGATTGAAATTTCCACATGGAAATTCCACAAAAAGAGTGTTTCAAATCTGCTCTGTCTAAAGGGAAGTTCAACTCTGTGAGTTGAATGCACACAACAGAAATAAGTTACTTGAATTCTTCTGTCTAGCAGAATATGAAGAAATCCCGTTTCCAACGAAGGACTCAAAGAGGTCCATATATCCACTTGCAGAATTTACAAAGAGAGTGTTTCCAAACTGCTCAATCAAAAGAAAGGTTAAACTCTGTGAATTGAACGCACACATCACAAAGTAGTTTCTGAGAATGTTTCTGTCTACTTTTTATACGAAGATATTTCCTTTTCTACTTTTGGCGTATAAGCGCTCGAAATCTCCAACTGCAAATATCACAAAAAGAGATTTTCACATCTGCTCCTTCTAAAAGAAGGTTCAACTCTGTGAGTTGAATACACAGAACACAAAGAAGTTACTTAGAATTCTTCTGTCTAACATTATATGAAGAAATCCCGTTTCCAACGAAGGCCTCAAAGAACTCCAATTATCCACTTGCAGATATCACAAAGAGAGTGTTTCTAAACAGCTCTATGAAAAGAAAGGTTAAACTCTGTATGTTGAACGCACACATGAAAAAGTAGTTTCTCAGAATGATTCTGTCTAGATTTTATACGAAGATATTTCCTTTTCTACCCTTGGCCAGAAAGAGCTTGAAATCTCCGCATGCAAATTCCACAATAAGAGTGTGTCAAATGTGCTCTCTCTAAAGGAAGGTTCAAGTCTGTGAGTGGAATACACACAACACAAAGAAGTTACTGAGAATTCTTCTGTCTAGCATTATATGAAGAAATCCCTTTTCTAAGGAAAGTCTCAAAGAGGTCCAAATATCTTCTTGCAGACTTTGAAACAGAGTGTTTCCAAACTGCTGCATGAAAAGAAAGGTTAAACTCTGTGAATTGATCGCACACATCACAAAGTAGATTCTCAGAATGATTCTGTATAGTTTTTATACGAAGATATATCCTTTTCTATCTTTGGCCTAAAAGCTCTACAAATCTCCACGTGCAAATATCACAAAAAGAGTATTTCACATCTGCTCTGTTTAAAGGAAGTTTCAACTCTATGAGTTGAATACACACAACACAAGGAAGTTATTAAGATTTATTCTGTCTAGCAGTATATGAAGAAATCCCGTTTCCAAAGAAGGCCTCAAAGAGGTCCAAATATCCTCTTGCAGACTTTACAAACAGAGTGTTTCCAGGCTGCTCTATGGAAAGAAAGGTTAAAATCTGTGAGTTGAATGCACACATCAAAAAGTAGTTTCTGAGAATGATTCTGTCTAGATTTTATACGAAGATACTTCCTTTTCTACCCTTGGCCTCAAAGCGCTTGAAATTTCCACCTGCAAATTCCACAAAATGAGTGTATCAAATCTCCTCTCTCTAAAGGAAGGTTTAAGTCTGTGAGTGGAATACACACAACACAAAGCAGTTACTGAGAATTCTTCTTTCTAACAGTATATGAAGAAATCCCGTTTCCAAAGAAGGCCTCAAAGAGGTCTAAATATCCACTTGCAGACTTTGCAAAGAGTGTTTCCAAACTGCTCTATGAAAAGAAAGGTTAAACTCTGTGATTTGAACGCACACATCACAAAGTAGTTTGTGAGAATGATTCTGTCTAGTTATTATACAAAAAATATTTCCTTTTCTACCATTGGCCACAAACAACGTGAAATCTCCACCTGTAAATTCAACAAAAAGAGTGTTTCATATCTGCTCGGTCTAAAGGTTGGTTCACTTCTGTGAGTTGAATACAGGCACCACAAAGAAGTTACTGAGAATTCTTCTTTCTAGCATTATATGAAGAAATCCCGTTTCCAAAGAAGGCCTCAAAGAGGTATAAATATCCACTTGCAGACTTTACAAAGAGAGTTTTTCCAAACTGCTCTATGAAAAGAAAGGTTAAACTCTGCGAGTTGAACGCACACATCACAAAGTAGTTTCTGAGAATGATTCTCTCTTGTTTTTCTACGAATATATGTCCTTTTCTACCATTGGCCTCAAAGCGATTGAAATCTGCACCTGGAAATTCCACAAAAGGAGTGTATCAAATCTGCTCTGTCAAAAGGAAGTTTCAATTCTGCTAGTTGAATAAATATAACACAAATAAGTTTCTGAGAATTCTTCTGTCTAACATTATATGAAGAAATCCCGTTTCCAACGAAGGCCTCAAAGGTGTCCAAATATCCACTGGCAAACTTTACAAAGAGAGTGTTTCCAAATTGCTCAATCAAAAGAAAGGTTAAACTCTGTGAATTGAACGCTCACATCACAAAGTAGTTGCTGAGAATGATTCTGTCTACTTTTTATACGAAGATATTTCCTTTTCTACTTTTGGCCTATAAGCGCTTAAAATCTCCAACTGCAAATATCACAGAAAGAGTGTTTCCCATCTGCTCCATTTAAAAGAAGGTTCAACTCTGTGAGTTGAATACACAGGACACAAAGAAGTTACTGAGAATTCTTTGTCCAGCAGTATATGAAGAAATCCCGTTTCCAACGAAGGCCTCAAAGAGGTCCAATTTTCCACGTGCAGATATTAAAAAGAGAGTGATTCTAAACAGCACTATGAAAAGAAAGGTTAAACTCTGTGAGTTGAACGCTCACATGACAAAGTAGTTTCTCAGAATGATTCTGTCTAGATTTTATACGAAGATACTACCTTTTCTACCCTTGGCCTGAAAGCTCTTGAAATCTCCACATGCAAATTCCACAAAAAGAGTGTATCAAATGTGCTCTCTCTAAAGGAAGGTTCAAGTGCTGTGAGTGGAATACACACAACACAAAGAAGTTACTGAGAATTATTCTGTCTAGCATTATATGAAGAAATCCCTTTTCTAAGGAAAGTCTCGAAGAGGTCCAAATATCCTCTTGCGGACTATCCAACCAGAGTGTTTCCACACTGCTGCATGAAAAGAAAGGTTAAACTCTGTGAGTTGAACGCACACATCAAAAAGTAGTTTCTGAGAATAATTCTGTCTACTTTTTATACGAAGATACTTCTTTTCCTACCATTGGCCTCAAAGCGATTGAAATTTCCACATGGAAATTCCACAAAAAGAGTGTTTCAAATCTGCTCTGTCTAAAGGGAAGTTCAACTCTGTGAGTTGAATGCACACAACAGAAATAAGTTACTTGAATTCTTCTGTCTAACATTATACGAAGAAATCACGTTTCCAACGAAGGACACAAAGAGGTCCATATATCCACTTGCAGAATTTACAAGGAGAGTGTCTCCAAACTGCTCAATCAAAAGAAAGTTTAAACTCTGTGAATTGAACGCACCCATCACAAAGTAGTTTCTGAGAATGATTCTGTCTACTTTTTATACGAAGATATTTCCTTTTCTACTTTTGGCGTATAAGCGCTCGAAATCTCCAACTGCAAATATCACAAAAAGAGATTTTCACATCTGCTCCTTCTAAAAGAAGGTTCAACTCTGTGAGTTGAATACACAGAACACAAAGAAGTTACTTAGAATTCTTCTGTCTAACATTATATGAAGAAATCCCGTTTCCAACGAAGGCCTCAAAGAACTCCAATTATCCACTTGCAGATATCACAAAGAGAGTGTTTCTAAACAGCTCTATGAAAAGAAAGGTTAAACTCTGTATGTTGAACGCACACATGAAAAAGTAGTTTCTCAGAATGATTCTGTCTAGATTTTATACGAAGATATTTCCTTTTCTACCCTTGGCCAGAAAGAGCTTGAAATCTCCGCATGCAAATTCCACAATAAGAGTGTGTCAAATGTGCTCTCTCTAAAGGAAGGTTCAAGTCTGTGAGTGGAATACACACAACACAAAGAAGTTACTGAGAATTCTTCTGTCTAGCATTATATGAAGAAATCCCTTTTCTAAGGAAAGTCTCAAAGAGGTCCAAATATCTTCTTGCAGACTTTGAAACAGAGTGTTTCCAAACTGCTGCATGAAAAGAAAGGTTAAACTCTGTGAATTGATCGCACACATCACAAAGTAGATTCTCAGAATGATTCTGTATAGTTTTTATACGAAGATATATCCTTTTCTATCTTTGGCCTAAAAGCTCTACAAATCTCCACGTGCAAATATCACAAAAAGAGTATTTCACATCTGCTCTGTCTAAAGGAAGTTTCAACTCTATGAGTTGAATACACACAACCCAAGGAAGTTATTAAGATTTATTCTGTCTAGCAGTATATGAAGAAATCCTGTTTCCAACGAAGGCCTCAAAGAGGTCCAAATATCCTCTTGCAGACTTTACATACAGAGTGTTTCCAGGCTGCTCTATGAAAAGAAAGGTTAAAATCTGTGAGTTGAACGCACACATCAAAAAGTAGTTTCTGAGAATGATTCTGTCTAGATTTTATATGAAGATACTTCCTTTTCTACCCTTGGCCTCAAAGCGCTTGAAATTTCCACCTGCAAATTCCACAAAATGAGTGTATCAAATCTCCTCTCTCTAAAGGAAGGTTTAAGTCTGTGAGTGGAATACACACAACACAAAGCAGTTACTGAGAATTCTTCTTTCTAGCAGTATATGAAGAAATCCCATTTCCAAAGAAGGCCTCAAAGAGGACTAAATATCCACTTGCAGACTTTGCAAAGAGTGTTTCCAAACTGCTCTATGAAAAGAAAGGTTAAACTCTGTGATTTGAACGCACACATCACAAAGTAGTTTGTGAGAATGATTCTGTCTAGTTATTATACAAAAAATATTTCCTTTTCTACCATTGGCCACAAACAACGTGAAATCTCCACCTGTAAATTCAACAAAAAGAGTGTTTCACATCTGCTCGGTCTAAAGGTTGGTTCACTTCTGTGAGTTGAATACAGGCACCACAAAGAAGTTACTGAGAATTCTTCTTTCTAGCATTATATGAAGAAATCCCGTTTCCAAAGAAGACCTCAAAGAGGTATAAATATCCACTTTCAGACTTTACAAAGAGAGTTTTTCCAAACTGCTCTATGAAAGGAAAGGTTAAACTGTGCGAGTTGAATGCACACATCACAAAGTAGTTTCTGAGAATGATTCTCTCTTGTTTTTCTACGAATATATGTCCTTTTCTACCATTGGCCTCAAAGCGAATGAAATCTGCACCTGGAAATTCCACAAAAGGAGTGTATCAAATCTGCTCTGTCAAAAGGAAGTTTCAATTCTGCTAGTTGAATAAATATAACACAAATAAGTTTCTGAGAATTCTTCTGTCTAACATTATATGAAGAAATCCCGTTTCCAACGAAGGCCTGAAAGGTGTCCAAATATCCACTGGCAAACTTTACAAAGAGAGTGTTTCCAAACTGCTCAATCAAAAGAAAGGTTAAACTCTGTGAATTGAACGCTCACATCACAAAGTAGTTTCTGAGAATGATTCTGTCTAGTTTTTATACGAAGATATTTCCTCTTCTACATGTGGCCTAAATGCGCTTGAAATCTCCATCTGCAAATATCACAGAAAGAGTGTTTCACATCTGCTCTGTCTAAAGGAATGTTCAACTCTGTGACTTGAATACACACAACACAAAGAAGTTACAGAGAATTATTCTGTCTAGCATTATATGAAGAAATCCCGTTTCCAACGAAGGACTCAAAGAGGTCCATATATCTACTGGCAGAATTTACAAAGAGAGTGTTTCCAAACTGCTCAATCAAAAGAAAGGTTAAACTCTGTGAATTGAACGCACACATCACAAAGTAGTTTCTGAGAATGATTCTGTCTACTTTTTATACGAAGATATTTCCTTTTCTACTTTTGGCCTATAATCGCTTGAAATCTCCAACTGCAAATATCACAGAAAGAGTGTTTCACATCTGCTCCGCCTAAAAGAAGGTTCAAATCTGTGAGTTGAATACACAGGACACAAAGAAGTTACTGAGAATTCTTTGTCCAGCAGCGTATGAAGAAATCCCATTTCCAACGAAGGCCTCAAAGAGGACCAATTTTCCACGTGCAGATATTAAAAAGAGAGTGATTACAAACAGCACTATGAAAAGAAAGGTTAAACTCTGTGAGTTGAACGCTCACATGACAAAGTAGTTTCTCAGAATGATTCTGTCTAGATTTTATACGAAGATACTACCTTTTCTACACTTGGCCTGAAAGCGCTTGAAATCTCCACATGCAAATTCCACAAAAAGAGTGTATCAAATGTGCTCTCTCTAAAGGAAGGTTCAAGTCTGTGAGTGGAATACACACAACACAAAGAAGTTACTGAGAATTATTCTGTCTAGCATTATATGAAGAAATCCCTTTTCTAAGGAAAGTCTCGAAGAGGTCCAAATATCCTCTTGCGGACTATCCAACCAGAGTGTTTCCACACTGCTGCATGAAAAGAAAGGTTAAACTCTGTGAGTTGAACGCACACATCAAAAAGTAGTTTCTGAGAATGATTCTGTCTAATTTTTATACGTAGATATTTCTTTTTCTACCATTGGCCTCAAAGCGATTGAAATTTCCACATGGAAATTCCACAAAAAGAGTGTTTCAAATCTGCTCTGTCTAAAGGAAAGTTCAACTCTGTGAGTTGAATGCACACAACAGAAATAAGTTACTGAGAATTCTTCTGTCTAACATTATACGAAGAAATCACGTTTCCAACGAAGGACACAAAGAGGTCCATATATCCACTTGCAGAATTTACAAGGAGAGTGTCTCCAAACTGCTCAATCAAAAGAAAGTTTAAACTCTGTGAATTGAACGCACCCATCACAAAGTAGTTTCTGAGAATGATTCTGTCTACTTTTTATACGAAGATATTTCCTTTTCTACTTTTGGCGTATAAGCGCTCGAAATCTCCAACTGCAAATATCACAAAAAGAGATTTTCACATCTGCTCCTTCTAAAAGAAGGTTCAACTCTGTGAGTTGAATACACAGAACACAAAGAAGTTACTTAGAATTCTTCTGTCTAACATTATATGAAGAAATCCCGTTTCCAACGAAGGCCTCAAAGAACTCCAATTATCCACTTGCAGATATCACAAAGAGAGTGTTTCTAAACAGCTCTATGAAAAGAAAGGTTAAACTCTGTATGTTGAACGCACACATGAAAAAGTAGTTTCTCAGAATGATTCTGTCTAGATTTTATACGAAGATATTTCCTTTTCTACCCTTGGCCAGAAAGAGCTTGAAATCTCCGCATGCAAATTCCACAATAAGAGTGTGTCAAATGTGCTCTCTCTAAAGGAAGGTTCAAGTCTGTGAGTGGAATACACACAACACAAAGAAGTTACTGAGAATTCTTCTGTCTAGCATTATATGAAGAAATCCCTTTTCTAAGGAAAGTCTCAAAGAGGTCCAAATATCTTCTTGCAGACTTTGAAACAGAGTGTTTCCAAACTGCTGCATGAAAAGAAAGGTTAAACTCTGTGAATTGATCGCACACATCACAAAGTAGATTCTCAGAATGATTCTGTATAGTTTTTATACGAAGATATATCCTTTTCTATCTTTGGCCTAAAAGCTCTACAAATCTCCACGTGCAAATATCACAAAAAGAGTATTTCACATCTGCTCTGTCTAAAGGAAGTTTCAACTCTATGAGTTGAATACACACAACACAAGGAAGTTATTAAGATTTATTCTGTCTAGCAGTATATGAAGAAATCCCGTTTCCAAAGAAGGCCTCAAAGAGGTCCAAATATCCTCTTGCAGACTTTACAAACAGAGTGTTTCCAGGCTGCTCTATGAAAAGAAAGGTTAAAATCTGTGAGTTGAATGCACACATCAAAAAGTAGTTTCTGAGAATGATTCTGTCTAGATTTTATACGAAGATACTTCCTTTTCTACCCTTGGCCTCAAAGCGCTTGAAATTTCCACCTGCAAATTCCACAAAATGAGTGTATCAAATCTCCTCTCTCTAAAGGAAGGTTTAAGTCTGTGAGTGGAATACACACAACACAAAGCAGTTACTGAGAATTCTTCTTTCTAGCAGTATATGAAGAAATCCCATTTCCAAAGAAGGCCTCAAAGAGGTCTAAATATCCACTTGCAGACTTTGCAAAGAGTGTTTCCAAACTGCTCTATGAAAAGAAAGGTTAAACTCTGTGATTTGAACGCACACATCACAAAGTAGTTTGTGAGAATGATTCTGTCTAGTTATTATACAAAAAATATTTCCTTTTCTACCATTGGCCACAAACAACGTGAAATCTCCACCTGTAAATTCAACAAAAAGAGTGTTTCACATCTGCTCGGTCTAAAGGTTGGTTCACTTCTGTGAGTTGAATACAGGCACCACAAAGAAGTTACTGAGAATTCTTCTTTCTAGCATTATATGAAGAAATCCCGTTTCCAAAGAAGACCTCAAAGAGGTATAAATATCCACTTTCAGACTTTACAAAGAGAGTTTTTCCAAACTGCTCTATGAAAGGAAAGGTTAAACTCTGCGAGTTGAACGCACACATCACAAAGTAGTTTCTGAGAATGATTCTCTCTTGTTTTTCTACGAATATATGTCCTTTTCTACCATTGGCCTCAAAGCGAATGAAATCTGCACCTGGAAATTCCACAAAAGGAGTGTATCAAATCTGCTCTGTCAAAAGGAAGTTTCAATTCTGCTAGTTGAATAAATATAACACAAATAAGTTTCTGAGAATTCTTCTGTCTAACATTATATGAAGAAATCCCGTTTCCAACGAAGGCCTCAAAGGTGTCCAAATATCCACTGGCAAACTTTACAAAGAGAGTGTTTCCAAACTGCTCAATCAAAAGAAAGGTTAAACTCTGTGAATTGAACGCTCACATCACAAAGTAGTTTCTGAGAATGATTCTGTCTACTTTTTATACGAAGTTCTTTCCTTTTCTACTTTTGGCCTATAAGCGCTTAAAATCTCCAACTGCAAATATCACAGAAAGAGTGTTTCCCATCTGCTCCAATTAAAAGAAGGTTCAACTCTGTGAGTTGAATACACAGGACACAAAGAAGTTACTGAGAATTCTTTGTCCAGCAGTATATGAAGAAATCCCGTTTCCAACGAAGGCCTCAAAGAGGTCCAATTTTCCACGTGCAGATATTAAAAAGAGAGTGATTCTAAACAGCACTATGAAAAGAAAGGTTAAACTCTGTGAGTTGAACGCTCACATGACAAAGTAGTTTCTCAGAATGATTCTGTCTAGATTTTGTACGAAGATACTACCTTTTCTACCCTTGGCCTGAAAGCGCTTGAAATCTCCACATGCAAATTCCACAAAAAGAGTGTATCAAATGTGCTCTCTCTGAAGGAAGGTTCAAGTCTGTGAGTGGAATACACACAACACAAAGAAGTTACTGAGAATTCTTCTGTCTAGCATTATATGAAGAAAACCCTTTTCTAAGGAAAGGCTCGAAGAGGTCCAAATATCCTCTTGCGGACTGTCCAACCAGAGTGTTTCCACACTGCTGCATGAAAAGAAAGGTTAAACTCTGTGAGTTGAAAGCACACTTCACAAAGTAGTTTCTGAGAATGATTCTGTCTAGATTTTTTACGAAGATAGTTCCTTTTCTACCCTTGGCCTGAAAGCGCTTGAAATCTCCACCTGCAAATTCCACAAAAAGAGTGTATGAAATCTCCTCTCTCAACTGAAAAGTTCAAGTCTGTGATTGGAATACACACAATACAAAGAATTTACTGAGAATTCTTCTGTCTAACATTATACGAAGAAATCACGTTTCCAACGAAGGACACAAAGAGGTCCATATATCCACTTGCAGAATTTACAAGGAGAGTGTCTCCAAACTGCTCAATCAAAAGAAAGTTTAAACTCTGTGAATTGAACGCACCCATCACAAAGTAGTTTCTGAGAATGATTCTGTCTACTTTTTATACGAAGATATTTCCTTTTCTACTTTTGGCGTATAAGCGCTCGAAATCTCCAACTGCAAATATCACAAAAAGAGATTTTCACATCTGCTCCTTCTAAAAGAAGGTTCAACTCTGTGAGTTGAATACACAGAACACAAAGAAGTTACTTAGAATTCTTCTGTCTAACATTATATGAAGAAATCCCGTTTCCAACGAAGGCCTCAAAGAACTCCAATTATCCACTTGCAGATATCACAAAGAGAGTGTTTCTAAACAGCTCTATGAAAAGAAAGGTTAAACTCTGTATGTTGAACGCACACATGAAAAAGTAGTTTCTCAGAATGATTCTGTCTAGATTTTATACGAAGATATTTCCTTTTCTACCCTTGGCCAGAAAGAGCTTGAAATCTCCGCATGCAAATTCCACAATAAGAGTGTGTCAAATGTGCTCTCTCTAAAGGAAGGTTCAAGTCTGTGAGTGGAATACACACAACACAAAGAAGTTACTGAGAATTCTTCTGTCTAGCATTATATGAAGAAATCCCTTTTCTAAGGAAAGTCTCAAAGAGGTCCAAATATCTTCTTGCAGACTTTGAAACAGAGTGTTTCCAAACTGCTGCATGAAAAGAAAGGTTAAACTCTGTGAATTGATCGCACACATCACAAAGTAGATTCTCAGAATGATTCTGTATAGTTTTTATACGAAGATATATCCTTTTCTATCTTTGGCCTAAAAGCTCTACAAATCTCCACGTGCAAATATCACAAAAAGAGTATTTCACATCTGCTCTGTCTAAAGGAAGTTTCAACTCTATGAGTTGAATACACACAACACAAGGAAGTTATTAAGATTTATTCTGTCTAGCAGTATATGAAGAAATCCCGTTTCCAAAGAAGGCCTCAAAGAGGTCCAAATATCCTCTTGCAGACTTTACAAACAGAGTGTTTCCAGGCTGCTCTATGAAAAGAAAGGTTAAAATCTGTGAGTTGAATGCACACATCAAAAAGTAGTTTCTGAGAATGATTCTGTCTAGATTTTATACGAAGATACTTCCTTTTCTACCCTTGGCCTCAAAGCGCTTGAAATTTCCACCTGCAAATTCCACAAAATGAGTGTATCAAATCTCCTCTCTCTAAAGGAAGGTTTAAGTCTGTGAGTGGAATACACACAACACAAAGCAGTTACTGAGAATTCTTCTTTCTAGCAGTATATGAAGAAATCCCGTTTCCAAAGAAGGCCTCAAAGAGGTCTAAATATCCACTTGCAGACTTTGCAAAGAGTGTTTCCAAACTGCTCTATGAAAAGAAAGGTTAAACTCTGTGATTTGAACGCACACATCACAAAGTAGTTTGTGAGAATGATTCTGTCTAGTTATTATACAAAAAATATTTCCTTTTCTACCATTGGCCACAAACAACGTGAAATCTCCACCTGTAAATTCAACAAAAAGAGTGTTTCACATCTGCTCGGTCTAAAGGTTGGTTCACTTCTGTGAGTTGAATACAGGCACCACAAAGAAGTTACTGAGAATTCTTCTTTCTAGCATTATATGAAGAAATCCCGTTTCCAAAGAAGACCTCAAAGAGGTATAAATATCCACTTTCAGACTTTACAAAGAGAGTTTTTCCAAACTGCTCTATGAAAGGAAAGGTTAAACTCTGCGAGTTGAATGCACACATCACAAAGTAGTTTCTGAGAATGATTCTCTCTTGTTTTTCTACGAATATATGTCCTTTTCTACCATTGGCCTCAAAGCGAATGAAATCTGCACCTGGAAATTCCACAAAAGGAGTGTATCAAATCTGCTCTGTCAAAAGGAAGTTTCAATTCTGCTAGTTGAATAAATATAACACAAATAAGTTTCTGAGAATTCTTCTGTCTAACATTATATGAAGAAATCCCGTTTCCAACGAAGGCCTCAAAGGTGTCCAAATATCCACTGGCAAACTTTACAAAGAGAGTGTTTCCAAACTGCTCAATCAAAAGAAAGGTTAAACTCTGTGAATTGAACGCTCACATCACAAAGTAGTTTCTGAGAATGATTCTGTCTACTTTTTATACGAAGTTCTTTCCTTTTCTACTTTTGGCCTATAAGCGCTTAAAATCTCCAACTGCAAATATCACAGAAAGAGTGTTTCCCATCTGCTCCATTTAAAAGAAGGTTCAACTCTGTGAGTTGAATACACAGGACACAAAGAAGTTACTGAGAATTCTTTCTCCAACATTATATGAAGAAATCCCGTTTCCAACGAAGGCCTCAAAGAGGTCCAATTTTCCACATGCAGATATTAAAAAGAGAGTGTTTCTAAACAGCACTATGAAAAGAAAGGTTAAACTCTGTGAGTTGAATGCACACGTCACAAAGTAGTTTCTCAGAATGATCCTGTCTAGATTTTATACGAAGATACTACCTTTTCTACCCTTGGCCTGAAAGCGCTTGAAATCTCCTCATGCAATTTCCACAAAAAGAGTGTATCAAATGTGCTCTCTCTAAAGGAAGGTTCAAGTCTGTGGGTGGAATACACACAACACAAAGAAGTTACTGAGAATTCTTCTGTCTAGCATTATATGAAGAAATCCGTTTTCTAAGGAAAGTCTCGAAGAGGTCCAAATATCCTCTTGTGGACTATCCAACCAGAGTGTTTCCACACTGCTGCATGAAAAGAAAGGTTAAACTCTGTGAGTTGAACGCACACTTCACAAAGTCGTTTCTGAGAATGATTCTGTCTAGATTTTTTACGAAGATACTTCCTTTTCTACCCTTGGCCTGAAAGCGCTTGAAATCTCCACCTGCAAATTCCACAAAAAGAGTGTATGAAATCTCCTCTCTCAACTGAAAAGTTCAAGTCTGTGAGTGGAATACACACAACACAAAGAATTTACTGAGAATTCTTCTGTCTAGCAGTATATGAAGAAATCCCGTTTCCAACGGAGGCCTCAAAGAGGTCCAAATGTCCACTTGCAGACTTTACAAACAGAGTGTTACCAAACTGCTCTATGAAAAAGAAAGTTTAAACTCTATGAATTGAATGCACACATCACAAAGTAGTTTCTCAGAATGATTCTGTCTAGATTTTATACGAAGATACTTCCTTTTCTACCCTTGGCCTCAAAGCGCTTGAAATTTCCACCTGCAAATTCCACAAAATGAGTGTATCAAATCTCCTCTCTCTAAAGGAAGGTTTAAGTCTGTGAGTGGAATACACACAACACAAAGCAGTTACTGAGAATTCTTCTTTCTAACAGTATATGAAGAAATCCCGTTTCCAAAGAAGGCCTCAAAGAGGTCTAAATATCCACTTGCAGACTTTGCAAAGAGTGTTTCCAAACTGCTCTATGAAAAGAAAGGTTAAACTCTGTGATTTGAACGCACACATCACAAAGTAGTTTGTGAGAATGATTCTGTCTAGTTATTATACAAAAAATATTTCCTTTTCTACCATTGGCCACAAACAACGTGAAATCTCTACCTGTAAATTCAACAAAAAGAGTGTTTCACATCTGCTCGGTCTAAAGGTTGGTTCACTTCTGTGAGTTGAATACAGGCACCACAAAGAAGTTACTGAGAATTCTTCTTTCTAGCATTATATGAAGAAATCCCGTTTCCAAAGAAGGCCTCAAAGAGGTATAAATATCCACTTGCAGACTTTACAAAGAGAGTTTTTCCAAACTGCTCTATGAAAAGAAAGGTTAAACTCTGCGAGTTGAACGCACACATCACAAAGTAGTTTCTGAGAATGATTCTCTCTTGTTTTTCTACGAATATATGTCCTTTTCTACCACTGGCCTCAAAGCGATTGAAATCTGCACCTGGAAATTCCACAAAAAGAGTGTATCAAATCTGCTCTGTCAAAAGGAAGTTTCAATTCTGCTAGTTGAATAAATATAACACAAATAAGTTTCTGAGAATTCTTCTGTCTAACATGCAATGAAGAAATACCTTTTCCAACGAAGGCCAAAAAGAGGTCCATATATCCACTTGCAGAATTTACAAAGAGAGTGTTTCCAAACTGCACAATCAAAGGAAAGGTTAAACTCTGTGAATTGAATTCACACATCACAAAGTAGATTCTCAGAATGATTCTGTATAGTTTTTGCACAAAGGTATTTCCTTTTCTGTTTTTGGCCTAAAAGCGCTAGAAATCTCCACGTGCAAATATCACAAAAAAGAGTATTGCACATCTGCTCTCTCTAAAGGAAGTTTCAACTCTATGAGTTGAATACACACAACCCAAGGAAGTTATTAAGATTTATTCTGTCTAGCAGTATATGAAGAAATCCCGTTTCCAAAGAAGGGCTCAAAGAGGTCCAAATATCCTCTTGCAGACTTTACAAACAGAGTGTTTCCAGACTGCTCTATGAAAAGAAAGGTTAAAATCTGTGAGTTGAACGCACACATCAAAAAGTAGTTTCTGAGAATGATTCTGTCAAGATTTTATACGAAGATACTTCCTTTTCTACCCTTGGCCTCAAAGCGCTTGAAATTTCCACCTGCAAATTCCACAAAATGAGTGTATCAAATCTCCTCTCTCTAAAGGAAGGTTTAAGTCTGTGAGTGGAATACACACAACACAAAGCAGTTACTGAGAATTCTTCTTTCTAGCAGTATATGAAGAAATCCCGTTTCCAAAGAAGGCCTCAAAGAGGTCTAAATATCCACTTGCAGACTTTGCAAACAGAGTGTTTCCAAACTGCTCTATGAAAAGAAAGGTTAAACTCTGTGATTTGAACGCACACATCACAAAGTAGTTTGTGAGAATGATTCTGTCTAGTTATCACACAAAAATATTTCCTTTTCTACCATTGGCCACAAAGCACGTGAAATCTCCACCTGCAAATTCAACAAAAAGAGTGTTTCACATCTGCTCGGTCTAAAGGTTGGTTCACTTCTGTGAGTTGAATACAGGCAACAGAAAGAAGTTACTGAGAATTCTTCTTTCTAGCATTATATGAAGAAATCCCGTTTCCAAAGAAGGCCTCAAAGAGGTATAAATATCCACTTGCAGACTTTACAAAGAGAGTTTTTCCAAACTGCTCTATGAAAAGAAAGGTTAAACTCTGCGAGTTGAACGCACACATCACAAAGTAGTTTCTGAGAATGATTCTCTCTTGTTTTTCTACGAATATATGTCCTTTTCTACCATTGGCCTCAAAGCGATTGAAATCTGCACCTGGAAATTCCACAAAAAGAGTGTATCAAATCTGCTCTGTCAAAAGGAAGTTTCAATTCTGCTAGTTGAATAAATATAACACAAATAAGTTTCTGAGAATTCTTCTGTCTAGCATTATATGAAGAAATCCCGTTTCCAACGAAGGCCTCAAAGAAGCCCAAATATCCACTTGCAGACATTACAGAGAGGGTTTCCAAACTGCTCAGTCAAAGAAAGGTTAAAATCCGTGAATTGAACACACACATCAAAAAGTAGTTTCTGAGAATGATTCTGTCTAGTTTTTATACGAAGATATTTCCTCTTCTACCATTGGCCTCAAAGAGCCTGAAATCTCCACCTGCAAATTCCACAAAATGAGTGTATCAAATCTCCTCTCTCTAAAGGAAGGTTTAAGTCTGTGAGTGGAATACACACAACACAAAGCAGTTACTGAGAATTCTTCTTTCTAACAGTATATGAAGAAATCCCGTTTCCAAAGAAGGCCTCAAAGAGGTCTAAATATCCACTTGCAGACTTTGCAAAGAGTGTTTCCAAACTGCTCTATGAAAAGAAAGGTTAAACTCTGTGATTTGAACGCACACATCACAAAGTAGTTTGTGAGAATGATTCTGTCTAGTTATTATACAAAAAATATTTCCTTTTCTACCATTGGCCACAAACAACGTGAAATCTCCACCTGTAAATTCAACAAAAAGAGTGTTTCATATCTGCTCGGTCTAAAGGTTGGTTCACTTCTGTGAGTTGAATACAGGCACCACAAAGAAGTTACTGAGAATTCTTCTTTCTAGCATTATATGAAGAAATCCCTTTTCCAAAGAAGGCCTCAAAGAGGTATAAATATCCACTTGCAGACTTACAAAGAGAGTTTTTCCAAACTGCTCTATGAAAAGAAAGGTTAAACTCTGCGAGTTGAACGCACACATCACAAAGAAGTTTCTGAGAATGATTCTCTCTTGTTTTTCTATGAATATATGTCCTTTTCTACCACTGGCCTCAAAGCGATTGAAATCTGCACCTGGAAATTCCACAAAAAGAGTGTATCAAATCTGCTCTGTCAAAAGGAAGTTTCAATTCTGCTAGTTGAATAAATATAACACAAATAAGTTTCTGAGAATTCTTCTGTCTAGCATTATATGAAGAAATCCCGTTTCCAACGAAGGCCTCAAAGAAGCCCAAATATCCACTTGCAGACATTACAGAGAGGGTTTCCAAACTGCTCAGTCAAAGAAAGGTTAAAATCCGTGAATTGAACACACACATCAAAAAGTAGTTTCTGAGAATGATTCTGTCTAGTTTTTATACGAAGATATTTCCTCTTCTACCATTGGCCTCAAAGAGCCTGAAATCTCCACCTGCAAATTCCACAAAATGAGTGTATCAAATCTCCTCTCTCTAAAGGAAGGTTTAAGTCTGTGAGTGGAATACACACAACACAAAGCAGTTACTGAGAATTCTTCTTTCTAACAGTATATGAAGAAATCCCGTTTCCAAAGAAGGCCTCAAAGAGGTCTAAATATCCACTTGCAGACTTTGCAAAGAGTGTTTCCAAACTGCTCTATGAAAAGAAAGGTTAAACTCTGTGATTTGAACGCACACATCACAAAGTAGTTTGTGAGAATGATTCTGTCTAGTTATTATACAAAAAATATTTCCTTTTCTACCATTGGCCACAAACAACGTGAAATCTCCACCTGTAAATTCAACAAAAAGAGTGTTTCACATCTGCTCGGTCTAAAGGTTGGTTCACTTCTGTGAGTTGAATACAGGCACCACAAAGAAGTTACTGAGAATTCTTCTTTCTAGCATTATATGAAGAAATCCCGTTTCCAAAGAAGGCCTCAAAGAGGTATAAATATCCACTTGCAGACTTTACAAAGAGAGTTTTTCCAAACTGCTCTATGAAAAGAAAGGTTAAACTCTGCGAGTTGAACGCACACATCACAAAGTAGTTTCTGAGAATGATTCTCTCTTGTTTTTCTACGAATATATGTCCTTTTCTACCACTGGCCTCAAAGCGATTGAAATCTGCACCTGGAAATTCCACAAAAAGAGTGTATCAAATCTGCTCTGTCAAAAGGAAGTTTCAATTCTGCTAGTTGAATAAACATAACACAAATAAGTTTCTGAGAATTCTTCTGTCTAACATTGTATGAAGAAATCCCGTTTCCAACGAAGGCCTAAAAGGTGGCCAAATATCCACTGGCAGACTTTACAAAGAGAGTGTTTCCAAACTGCTCAATCAAAAGACAGGTTAAACTCTGTGAATTGAACGCACACATCACAAATTAGTTTCTGAGAATGATTCTGTCTACTTTTTATACGAAGATATTTCCTTTTCTACTTTTGGCCTATAAGCGCTTGAAATCTCCAACTGCAAATATCACAGAAAGAGTGTTTCACATCTGCTCCGCCTAAAAGAAGGTTCAAATCTGTGAGTTGAATACAAAGGACACAAAGAAGTTACTGAGAATTCTTTCTCCAACATTATATGAAGAAATCCCGTTTCCAACGAAGGCCTCAAAGAGGTCCAATTTTCCACATGCAGATATTAAAAAGAGAGTGTTTCTAAACAGCACTATGAAAAGAAAGGTTAAACTCTGTGAGTTGAATGCACACGTCACAAAGTAGTTTCTCAGAATGATCCTGTCTAGATTTTATACGAAGATACTACCTTTTCTACCCTTGGCCTGAAAGCGCTTGAAATCTCCTCATGCAATTTCCACAAAAAGAGTGTATCAAATGTGCTCTCTCTAAAGGAAGGTTCAAGTCTGTGAGTGGAATACACACAACAGAAAGAAGTTACTGAGAATTCTTCTGTCTAGCATTATATGAAGAAATCCCTTTTCTAAGGAAAGTCTCGAAGAGGTCCAAATATCCTCTTGTGGACTATCCAACCAGAGTGTTTCCACACTGCTGCATGAAAAGAAAGGTTAAACTCTGTGAGTTGAACGCACACTTCCCAAAGTAGTTTCTGAGAATGATTCTGTCTAATTTTTATACGAAGATATTTCTTTTTCTACCATTGGCCTCAAAGCGATTGAAATTTCCACATGGAAATTCCACAAAAAGAGTGTTTCAAATCTGCTCTGTCTAAAGGAAAGTTCAACTCTGTGAGTTGAATGCACACAACAGAAATAAGTTACTGAGAATTCTTCTGTCTAACATTATACGAAGAAATCACGTTTCCAACGAAGGACACAAAGAGGTCCATATATCCACTTGCTGAATTTACAAGGAGAGTGTCTCCAAACTGCTCAATCAAAAGAAAGTTTAAACTCCGTGAATTGAACGCACCCATCACAAAGTAGTTTCTGAGAATGATTCTGTCTATATTTTATACGAAGATATTTCCTTTTCTACTTTTGGCGTATAAGCGCTCGAAATCTCCAACTGCAAATATCACAAAAAGAGATTTTCACATCTGCTCCTTCTAAAAGAAGGTTCAACTCTGTGAGTTGAATACACAGAACACAAAGAAGTTACTGAGAATTCTTCTGTCTAACATTATATGAAGAAATCCCGTTTCCAACGAAGGCCTCAAAGAACTCCAATTATCCACTTGCAGATATTACAAAGAGAGTGTTTCTAAACAGCTCTATGAAAAGAAAAGTTAAACTCTGTATGTTGAACGCACACATCAAAAAGTAGTTTCTCAGAATGATTCTCTCTACTGTTTAGACGAAGATATTTCCTTTTCTACCATTGCCCTTAAAGCGCTTGAAATCTCCACCTTCACATTCCACGAAAAGAGTGTGTGAAATCTGCTCTGTCTAAAGGAAGGTTCAACTCTGTGAGCTGAATACACACAACACCAAAAAGTTACTGAGAATTCTTCTGTCTAACATTGTATGAAGAAATCCCGTTTCCAACGAAGGCCTCAAAGGTGTCCAAATATCCACTGGCAAACTTTACAAACAGAGTGTTTCCAAACTGCTCAATCAAAAGAAAGGTTAAACTCTGTGAATTGAACGCACACATCACAAAGTAGTTTCTGAGAATGATTCTGTCTAGTTTTTATACGAAGATATTTCCTCTTCTACCATTGGCCTCAAAGAGCCTGAAATCTCCACCTGCAAATTCCACAAAATGAGTGTATCAAATCTCCTCTCTCTAAAGGAAGGTTTAAGTCTGTGAGTGGAATACACACAACACAAAGCAGTTACTGAGAATTCTTCTTTCTAGCAGTATATGAAGAAATCCCGTTTCCAAAGAAGGTCTCAAAGAGGTCTAAATATCCACTTGCAGACTTTGCAAAGAGTGTTTCTAAACTGCTCTATGAAAAGAAAGGTTAAGCTCTGTGATATGAACGCACACATCACAAAGTAGTTTGTGAGAATGATTCTGTCTAGTTATTATACAAAAAATATTTCCTTTTCTACCATTGGCCACAAACAACGTGAAATCTCCACCTGTAAATTCAACAAAAAGAGTGTTTCACATCTGCTCGGTCTAAAGGTTGGTTCACTTCTGTGAGTTGAATACAGGCACCGCAAAGAAGTTACTGAGAATTCTTCTTTCTAGCATTATATGAAGAAATCCCGTTTCCAAAGAAGGCCTCAAAGAGGTATAAATATCCACTTTCAGACTTTACAAAGAGAGTTTTTCCAAACTGCTCTATGAAAAGAAAGGTTAAACTCTGCGAGTTGAACGCACACATCACAAAGTAGTTTCTGAGAATGATTCTCTCTTGTTTTTCTACGAATATATGTCCTTTTCTACCATTGGCCTCAAAGCGAATGAAATCTGCACCTGGAAATTCCACAAAAGGAGTGTATCAAATCTGCTCTGTCAAAAGGAAGTTTCAATTCTGCTAGTTGAATAAATATAACACAAATAAGTTTCTGAGAATTCTTCTGTCTAACATTATATGAAGAAATCCCGTTTCCAACGAAGGCCTCAAAGGTGTCCAAATATCCACTGGCAAACTTTACAAACAGAGTGTTTCCAAACTGGTCAATCAAAAGAAAGGTTAAACTCTGTGAATTGAACGCACACATCACAAAGTAGTTTCTGAGAATGATTCTGTCTACTTTTTATACGAAGTTATTTCCTTTTCTACTTTTGGCCTATAAGCGCTTAAAATCTCCAACTGCAAATATCACAGAAAGAGTGTTTCCCATCTGCTCCATTTAAAAGAAGGTTCAACTCTGTGAGTTGAATACACAGGACACAAAGAAGTTACTGAGAATTCTTTGTCCAGCAGTATATGAAGAAATCCCGTTTCCAACGAAGGCCTCAAAGAGGTCCAATTTTCCACGTGCAGATATTAAAAAGAGAGTGATTCTAAACAGCACTATGAAAAGAAAGGTTAAACTCTGTGAGTTGAACGCTCACATGACAAAGTAGTTTCTCAGAATGATTCTGTCTAGATTTTATACGAAGATACTACCTTTTCTACCCTTGGCCTGAAAGCGCTTGAAATCTCCACATGCAAATTCCACAAAAAGAGTGTATCAAATGTGCTCTCTCTAAAGGAAGGTTCAAGTCTGTGAGTGGAATACACACAACACAAAGAAGTTACTGAGAATTCTTCTGTCTAGCATTATATGAAGAAATCCCTTTTCTAAGGAAAGTCTCGAAGAGGTCCAAATATCCTCTTGCGGACTATCCAACCAGAGTGTTTCCACACTGCTGCATGAAAAGAAAGGTTAAACTCTGTGAGTTGAACGCACACATCAAAAAGTAGTTTCTGAGAATAATTCTGTCTACTTTTTATACGAAGATACTTCTTTTCCTACCATTGGCCTCAAAGCGATTGAAATTTCCACATGGAAATTCCACAAAAAGAGTGTTTCAAATCTGCTCTGTCTAAAGGGAAGTTCAACTCTGTGAGTTGAATGCACACAACAGAAATAAGTTACTTGAATTCTTCTGTCTAACATTATACGAAGAAATCACGTTTCCAACGAAGGACACAAAGAGGTCCATATATCCACTTGCAGAATTTACAAGGAGAGTGTCTCCAAACTGCTCAATCAAAAGAAAGTTTAAACTCTGTGAATTGAACGCACCCATCACAAAGTAGTTTCTGAGAATGATTCTGTCTACTTTTTATACGAAGATATTTCCTTTTCTACTTTTGGCGTATAAGCGCTCGAAATCTCCAACTGCAAATATCACAAAAAGAGATTTTCACATCTGCTCCTTCTAAAAGAAGGTTCAACTCTGTGAGTTGAATACACAGAACACAAAGAAGTTACTTAGAATTCTTCTGTCTAACATTATATGAAGAAATCCCGTTTCCAACGAAGGCCTCAAAGAACTCCAATTATCCACTTGCAGATATCACAAAGAGAGTGTTTCTAAACAGCTCTATGAAAAGAAAGGTTAAACTCTGTATGTTGAACGCACACATGAAAAAGTAGTTTCTCAGAATGATTCTGTCTAGATTTTATACGAAGATATTTCCTTTTCTACCCTTGGCCAGAAAGAGCTTGAAATCTCCGCATGCAAATTCCACAATAAGAGTGTGTCAAATGTGCTCTCTCTAAAGGAAGGTTCAAGTCTGTGAGTGGAATACACACAACACAAAGAAGTTACTGAGAATTCTTCTGTCTAGCATTATATGAAGAAATCCCTTTTCTAAGGAAAGTCTCAAAGAGGTCCAAATATCTTCTTGCAGACTTTGAAACAGAGTGTTTCCAAACTGCTGCATGAAAAGAAAGGTTAAACTCTGTGAATTGATGGCACACATCACAAAGTAGATTCTCAGAATGATTCTGTATAGTTTTTATACGAAGATATATCCTTTTCTATCTTTGGCCTAAAAGCTCTACAAATCTCCACGTGCAAATATCACAAAAAGAGTATTTCACATCTGCTCTGTCTAAAGGAAGTTTCAACTCTATGAGTTGAATACACACAACACAAGGAAGTTATTAAGATTTATTCTGTCTAGCAGTATATGAAGAAATCCCGTTTCCAAAGAAGGCCTCAAAGAGGTCCAAATATCCTCTTGCAGACTTTACAAACAGAGTGTTTCCAGGCTGCTCTATGAAAAGAAAGGTTAAAATCTGTGAGTTGAATGCACACATCAAAAAGTAGTTTCTGAGAATGATTCTGTCTAGATTTTATACGAAGATACTTCCTTTTCTACCCTTGGCCTCAAAGCGCTTGAAATTTCCACCTGCAAATTCCACAAAATGAGTGTATCAAATCTCCTCTCTCTAAAGGAAGGTTTAAGTCTGTGAGTGGAATACACACAACACAAAGCAGTTACTGAGAATTCTTCTTTCTAGCAGTATATGAAGAAATCCCATTTCCAAAGAAGGCCTCAAAGAGGTCTAAATATCCACTTGCAGACTTTGCAAAGAGTGTTTCCAAACTGCTCTATGAAAAGAAAGGTTAAACTCTGTGATTTGAACGCACACATCACAAAGTAGTTTGTGAGAATGATTCTGTCTAGTTATTATACAAAAAATATTTCCTTTTCTACCATTGGCCACAAACAACGTGAAATCTCCACCTGTAAATTCAACAAAAAGAGTGTTTCATATCTGCTCGGTCTAAAGGTTGGTTCACTTCTGTGAGTTGAATACAGGCACCACAAAGAAGTTACTGAGAATTCTTCTTTCTAGCATTATATGAAGAAATCCCGTTTCCAAAGAAGACCTCAAAGAGGTATAAATATCCACTTTCAGACTTTACAAAGAGAGTTTTTCCAAACTGCTCTATGAAAGGAAAGGTTAAACTCTGCGAGTTGAACGCACACATCACAAAGTAGTTTCTGAGAATGATTCTCTCTTGTTTTTCTACGAATATATGTCCTTTTCTACCATTGGCCTCAAAGCGAATGAAATCTGCACCTGGAAATTCCACAAAAGGAGTGTATCAAATCTGCTCTGTCAAAAGGAAGTTTCAATTCTGCTAGTTGAATAAATATAACACAAATAAGTTTCTGAGAATTCTTCTGTCTAACATTATATGAAGAAATCCCGTTTCCAACGAAGGCCTGAAAGGTGTCCAAATATCCACTGGCAAACTTTACAAAGAGAGTGTTTCCAAACTGCTCAATCAAAAGAAAGGTTAAACTCTGTGAATTGAACGCTCACATCACAAAGTTGTTTCTGAGAATGATTCTGTCTACTTTTTATACGAAGTTCTTTCCTTTTCTACTTTTGGCCTATAAGCGCTTAAAATCTCCAACTGCAAATATCACAGAAAGAGTGTTTCCCATCTGCTCCATTTAAAAGAAGGTTCAACTCTGTGAGTTGAATACACAGGACACAAAGAAGTTACTGAGAATTCTTTCTCCAACATTATATGAAGAAATCCCTTTTCCAACGAAGGCCTCAAAGAGGTCCAATTTTCCACGTGCAGATATTAAAAAGAGAGTGATTCTAAACAGCACTTGAAAAGAAAGGTTAAACTCCGTGAGTTGAACGCTCACATGACAAAGTAGTTTCTCAGAATGAT